>NT_187519.1:759715-911658 GCF_000001405.40 Homo sapiens
GAGATTAAAGGGAGATATCTTCAATGAACAGACCAAAATGTCACCTAACAACATGCTTAGTAAATAGGTACCTTTGCAAATGAAACTCTTAGTATCACATTGGGAATTACCATAGAAAACCACATTAAACTTATTGTAAACTGACTTTATCCATAAACACAAAAAAAATCAAAAGGGATAAATGTAAGACAGTTCACTTAAGACATAGTATAGGTTTCTTGCAAACATGGCTAAAAATTACTTAACACCATAATGAATAACAAGGATCGGTAAGAGTCAGTAATGAAACGATGTCTGAAGCAAGCACTGAAATATACCTAGGCATAGCACATGCAAAAAATGTGATGCTATGCTTTTTCAACCATAATGACCTGTAAATTGTTTTATACTAAGGCCCAACGGTTCTAGCAATGCTGTATAATCTCACATCTTTCCCCTGTCAAATGAAGAAAAAATTAAAAGATACACAAACATAAATATATCTTTTAAAACATATAGCATGCCTGGGTATTGTTTATATGATTCAGTGGAAATCAACATGGTTTGCTGGTGTGTCTGGTTTTTTGTGTTTTAATATTTATATTGCATAGCTATCCAAAATTGTTCAGAGTTTTGAAAGAACCAAGTTGTAAAAAATTGTGGATAGGCAGGAATTCTGACAAGCTTTCTAAACATGACCCTTTATTTCAACATGAAGATAAAGAGGCAAAGCTATACTGATTGAACAGAAAACAAGAATGGGACTTAAAAAAAAAAACAAGAGTTGGATAGACAGTGTTCTTCCTTCTAGTTGATAGGAAGGCCACACAGTGTAAAACTATACTCACAACTTTGGTGTTCACATGCACAATCTTCACCACTTAGAAAGAAGCAGCTTTATTAGTGCTTATAAAAATTCATTAGTCCCTATAAAACCAGAACCAATTCAGCAGATAAGTAAATAAAACAATATAAAGAAAATAAATTCACAAACTTTAATGTAGAATTTCAGAAAATGTTAAAGTTCACTGAGAAATACTATTTAGTGTGATTAAGATAATAAAAATAAATCAATAATGCAAACACAGTATTAATAACTTGAAGTTTTCAAATTTGAGAGGTTTTGTTCTCATGAGAATATTCTCTCAAAAGTAGTTTAGTTATATGAATAAGATTTCTGGATAATAATTGATCTGCATAGGCTATTAAAAATTGCCTGTTTATACAGGTCTGACTTTCAAAGCCCCAATCTTGAGTACGTGTCAAGGTTAGCCTTACCATACGAATCAGAGTGACATCTAGTGGCAACTCCATTGAAGTACTACTTGGTACTTCATCTGTTGTAAATACAAATGAACAGTACCTAGCATATGGCAGGCCCTCACACACTGTTGCATGAATACTTTAATATTTTAAGCTAATATTATAATTTCCTCAGTTCTACTGAACTTCCTCCTTCCTTTTCCTTACCACTTCTAGTCCTTCATTCTCTCCCTATTTTCTCAGTTGAAAAGTTCCCTTCTACTTGTCTCATTCTATGGAATCCCTGATCATTCTATATTTTTCTAATCCACTTTTTCTTTCATTATACACATCTTATCAGTCTCCATCCTAGGTATATGATATAATCCATTTTATGTGGAACTCTTCTGAGTACTGCTATACTAAATCACGAAACTAAACCAAATAAATCTATCATAATTCATGCAAACCTGGGAAATTATTTCATTCATCTCTAGTTGACTTGATCATGATTGTTTTCTAAAGGAATCATGCCACATCTTCTTTATCCCTCTTCAAACCCCTCTCCCCCAACCCCATCTTTCTCATTTTATAATATCCCTACTTCCTAGAAAGCAGGGAAACCATTAAACGTGAATAACTTCAACTTCCCAGCTCTCTACTTCAAACATTCAGAATACCCCCTTTACTTATAACAAAGGAAGTCATATACATTCTAGTTTTCAAGAACTAACCCCTCTTTCTTGTGTCCCATCTTTACTGTCATCTAAGATTTGATTATGTCAAATGATGAATCTCTCTCTTGGATCTTTCTGAATTTCCCTCTGTATTTTGACTCCATTCCTTCAACCTATGAATATGCTCAAAACATCCCATCCAAAAATCATCTTTCTTTGGCTTGCTGTAATCTATTTTCTTTCCTTTTATCAAAAAATAACTCAGAAGAAAAATCTATGATTACTGTCTCCATTTCTTCAGTATCCATTCACTCTTCAACTCCTGCCAATTTGCTATTTACCATCACTACTACTGATCTCCACAAAGTCACCAATGAGGTTATCAGTGGCCTCTTTACAGGCCTTGTTGTCCTTGAATCCTGAAATAATGCTGTAATAATTGCTCTTGCTTGGCATCTAAAGTGAAGTGATCTTTTTATTCTCTTCCAATCTCCCTCATAACTCCTTCTCTGCTTTCTTCTCCTTCTCATATAGGCTAAATGCAATATGGCCTCATATATACTTGAGCAAATAAAGAGGCGAAGTCATGCTTTTATAAAGAAAGTGCTTCAGTTTCTAAATAGAAATTGATTTGCCTATGAATTTAGCTCAAAATTATGTACTGCTTAATACCCTCCTTTCCTTCAAAGTAATGCTTTAACCCTACTTGGTTAAATTTGCCCCAATTATTTCAAATCATAATTCACTGTCCCTAATAAACCAAATTTTATCTTGCATTAACATACATTTTGTATCATCTTTAGATGTGTCCTAAGGTTTTAAAAATTCTCTATTATGTTAACTTGCAACTACTGTATGCCTCCTTCTCCCACCTTCTCTCCCCTCTCACATGCATGCACGTATACACACACACACACACACACACACACGCACGCACGCACACACGGTATTTTACAAGGACAGCAAGCTCAATGCCTTTGTCCTCCACTTCTGGGCATTTCTTCAAAATGTTTTAAATCTGAATATACTACTCTTTACCGGTAAGTTATTAGTAAATGCTTGTTGATTAAGGCTAATCTTTTTTTTTTTTTTTTGAGACAGAGTCTCCCTTTGTCGCCCAGGCTGGAGTGCAGTGGCACAATCTCAGTTCACTGCAAACTCTGCCTCCTGGGTTCAAGTGATTCTCCTGCTTCAGCTTCTCGAGTAGCTGGGACTACAGGTGCCTGCCATCACACCTGGCTAATTTTGGTATTTTTAGTAGAGACGGAGTTTCACTGTGTTGGCCAGGCTGACCTCAAACTCCTGACCTCCGGTGATCTGCCCGCCTCGGCCTCCCAAAGTGCTGGGATTACAGGTATGAGCCACCACACCTAGCCAATTAAGGCCAATACTTCAATAACTGTTCATTAAAAAGAAATAATGTTTTTTAAAAGAAAAAAAACTGACTTTTGTTTTAGCTGTTGGTACTGATACTATCAGTCTATAAACACTACAAACACACAGAAAGTGAGATAATGCTTTGGAAAAAGATTAATTTTCTAATTCTGAGCTAACTGGCCCAATTTTACTTGTGAAAACTGCTCTATAATTTGTCACAACTCTAATTTACACCAAACTCAACATAATTTTCTTAAATGCTTCTCAAAAAAAAAAAGACTCTGAAAGAGAAGGACTTCTGGAAAATTAGCAGCAAAGAATCATGAAGAACAATATTTGAAGCCTCTATACAACTTTTATAAAACATTTGCCACAAGGCAAGTTTTGGTGTGTGCAAAAATCCATTTGTAGACCAGCTGTGACAGACTCTTTAAAGCATATCCAAGGCAATGATAAATGAAGCAGACATTCATGCCAAACGCTTGGATTTAGATTTACGTATCAAGAAAGCTTTAATAAGTAATCCTACAAGGAATACAGTTGTATCTACATTTTGTGTAAGTAATAGTTGCTCATTTCTTTTTAGGGGAGGGGGGAATGCTATATTCATCTTTTAAAATAAATTCTTCATTTTTGTTTTGTTATTTTTTCTCCTTAGTCTAGTGAAGAGAGAGTCAGACAGGATATTCTGCTATGAGGCCCTGGCAAATCTAGTCCATTGTTGTGGGGAGAGGGGCACTTTGATCTGGAAGATACACAGGGACTCAGATTTAGAAATGCAGCCTGGAAAAAGCATTCTAGTGCTGAATGGACCTTTGTCTACAGGAACAGTTCCTGAGACATGCATGGAAGAGCTGAAACAGGACCCAGCCCACAGGGGAAGAGAGCTTGCAGGGAAGGTGGGGAGGGGGACAGAAAAGTAGGCTGTAGCTATTCCAGGTGAGTTCTTCGGTATCAAGAGAGTTTAGGGAGGTTGGATTATCCTCCAGGAACTTCAGCACTGGAGCCTACAACTATCTAGGACCATTTTAATTAGCTAATCTGCTATTCACATTTATACCCCACTCAACCAAAACTCTACTAGCTTCAGGGAAAGGTGGAGGACACTACAGAATTGGTACTCTGATTGGCTAGCCAATCACAGCCAGCTGTTGAGCTGGGTTAATGCTGTATACAGGGTCCAAAACAGTGCAGGTTGGGCGACCTCTGTTTTATTATTTAAGAGATAACTGAAAGTTTCTTTGCTTTTGATACAAAACCAAAAATCATTAAATGAGAGAACATTTTTAACTAAGAAAAAAATTTTTAAACTGAAAAGTACAAAAAATACACTTATCCAAAATCAGGCATATATGCATCTGAAAGGTATATCTACTAAAGTGATATGACATAACAATTTTAAATAGTCCTGAAATGTTGAATTAATTATAGTAACCATGAGCACTGCTTTCCGAACAGCTTTGATTCTGAAATGAACATTCTTTGTATTTGATGACACTAATTCAGCCTTTTTGTGGTCGATGCTATAAATGTTACGGAAATTATGTACTGCCCATGTTCATTACCTAAATTTCACATAATAATAGGTTTGTTAAATTAATTTTTCCCTAAAATAGATAAAACAATTACTCCTTATTAAGCATTAATCACTTGCCAAATTTAATTTTCTAAAACAACCTCATTTCAATTACACACAAGTCTTAGATTTGGTATTTTCAACTTTTCATTTTATTTTTTCAAATTCAAATAGACTTTAGATTTTAAAATAACAGAAACACTTTGCAGGTAGTCCCTTGGTTTATAAGTGGTGTGAAATTCACTGTAGCTTCTGGGAACTCTGAATGCTTTGCTCCAGAGAACAATTATATAAATAGTTAACTCTGAGGATGCTGTCATAAAGGTCTATTAACAGTACTAGTTAGTTTAACAGTACTAGTTAGTACCATTAAATCAGCTCTAATTCTAGGCTCTTGGGATGAAAGTGTGGGGGGAAAGGAAGTTAAAGTTTTCATCCCTTTTCCCAGGCACAGACTTCGTCCCAAGCAGACATCTGAAGTGGGCAAATGGAATTTTGGCATAGTTTCTACCCCCTTTCCCAATACATAGTCTTTTCCTACATCCTCTTGTTGTTTCTACCAGTCACAAGGTCTTCATGCTTCCTCCATCATGTTATGCCATTTTGATTTGCCTTAAGTTCTCCAAATGTCCCATATTTCAAAATTTAAGCCCTATATCACCATCCGATTTCACAGGCAACACAAAGAATGCGAACTGCTTCTAAGGAGTAAGTGAAAGAACATGCCTAAACCTTTTTAAAAGTAATTAAGTTCCATGACTATGAACTTAAATAAATGTATAATCTATGGGGTCTTAAGCAGTGTAAAAAATTAAAGTAAAAGCAACATTTTAAAAAGAAAGCTAGGGAATATAAAGCAAGGTATTTGGATGCAGAAAGTTCCTACGTAAGCAGATTAGCACTAACCTAAAAGCGTACGATTTTTCACTTTCCTACAGTTTCTTCCCCTTTCCCCTAAACATAGTTTCTCAAAATCTAGTATCTTCAAAATTGACCTAAAAATTGAAAGAGAAACAAGCCAACAATGTCCCCTTAGATATATATACACACAAATGACCCTAGGAAATCTGTTTTCAATAAAAAACTTCTAGAATTTGGTTTAAGAAAGAAATGTCCTTTCAGTATGTACATCTGATAGTTGTATAATACTGTTCTTTTGTACCTCAATGCTGATCAAGGTTGGTAGAGAAATGAATGTTTCTTCTAGGAGTTGTAACCATTTCATCATAATATATTCCTCATCAAGACTCTCCAGTTGTTCTCTATTGTCTGCTATGTCAAACACAACTCTTGAACAGGTTAGGGGCTTAGGTAGTAGAGTGTAAAATAACTGAATAGGAACATTGAGATATTTTATGGCAAACCTCCAGAACTAAATTGAAGGGCTAGAATCCCATCTTTTCCCATGAAGCCTTCTATAAAGCAAAGATGGAGAAGTAACAATGAACCCTCTCTTCTAATAATGTGACATAGGTTAGCGCTTAATGTATATACTGTCTTGAATTATTCTCTGTGTGTTTCATATACTGGTCTTATTCTCTGGGTAGATAATGAAAGCCTGGAAGTAGATTATGTACAATTTGCCTCATCTCTATTTATTTTCCCAGTTTCCTTATTATAGAGCACGCTTTCACTCTCAACAGGGTACTGGTTTGGAAGATACACAGCCAGCTTATCCTTAAAGTAAAAGACCATGTCTTAAGTTTCTTTTCTGACATCAAATACCTACTATACACTCAAGGGAAACTTTGATTTGTTTGACTGAACTCCAAATTTATTATGGAGTCATTATTTTCTTGGTTACAGTCTCATGGCCCTCTGTACTTTCCATAATTAGCATTTACCACAGTTGATAATTACACTGAATGATTAGCTGTAGAATGCCTGTATCTGCATTTGATTTTACTGTGAGCAGTGGTACTCAAAACCAGGAGTAGTGATGTGCTCCCCACCCTCACTGGACATTTGGCAACACATAGAGACATTCTTGGTTACTGCCAATGTGCTGAGGGATGGAGAGATAGGAGGTGCTGTTACCAAGTGCAGGGTCCCCACCCCTGGGCCGCGGATGGTGGCTGTTAGGAACCAGGCCACGCAGCAAGAGGTGAGCAGCAGGTGAGCGAGCATTACCACCTGAGCTCCACCTCCTATCAGATCAGCTGTGGCAACAGATTCTCACAGGAGTGCGAACCCTATTGTGAACTGTGCATGCGAGGGATCTAGGTTGCATGGTCCTTTGAGAATCTAACTAATACCTGATGGTCTGAAGTGCAACAGTTTCATCCCAAAACCGTCCCCCCTCCCACACACCACCCAGGTTCACAGAAAAACTGTGTTCCATGAAAGCAGCCCCCGGTGCCAAGAAGGCTGGAGACAGCTGACCTCACGGGCAGAAGCCAGGGATGCTGCTAATCATCTTATAGCGCACAGGACAGCCTGCTATGACGAGGAAGAATGATCGGGTTCAAAAATGCTGAAGTGAGGAAACCATTCCATGAAGTCAAGAACCCTATTTTGACTTACAGTCTTCCAGCAGAGCAGCTTGATATGTAGGAAATCATCAATAAATATTTGCCAAATTAATAAATGTATCACTCAAGTCCTTTTTAATTATTATTGGTTTTTTTGGAGACAGAGTCTCGCTGTGTCCCCCAGGCTGGAGTGCAGTGGCACAATCTTGGCTCACTGCCACCTCCGCCTCCTGGGTTCAAGCAATTCTCATGCCTCAGCCTCCAGAGCAGTGGGGATTACAGGCGGGCGACACCACGCCTGGTTAATTTTTTTTTTTTTTTTTTTAGTAGAGACAGGGTTTAGCCATGTTGCCCAGGGTGGTCTCGAACTCCTGAGCCCAAGTGATCTGCCCGCCTCGGCCACCAAAGTGCTAGGATTACAGGCATAAGTCGCCGTGCCCGGTCTCCTTTTTAATTCTTATACTGGCTCCTTCTTACTCCTTGCCTGTCTTGTCATATGTGCAAACCCACCTGAAGCACTGGAAATTGAGGGTTTAAAGTGTAAGCATATCTTTGAAATTCTCCAGTTACTACTAGTATACTGATAGATTCACTGATAAGAAAGCAAAACTATTGGATACATTTAGAGCTTCATGTTAATCATGTTCTCTATGTTACAGAATTATAAATTATAATTACAAAGAAAACTCTCAAGATTCCCCAAAGTGTTTTCTTATAATCTTATCATAACAAGCCTTAAGTTAGTCATTAGATAAGTTTAGAAAATAGCAAATCATATTTGTAAAGACCAGAATAAAACTCTAAGACTCATCCACATCATCCAAAATGAACAGTAAAAGAACCCTTTTATCATAAAGCAATTCCACCTAAAGATCAAAGCATAAGCTTTGGTGGGATATGGGAATCCCCAAAGTATGCATTAAAATGTGAAGGCCTTTCTTTTCTTAAGTATTTAGGCATGGCCAAAGGAAGTAAGAATCTGCTGGTACTGTAGGGGGAAGCTAGGAGAAAAGGGTCAAGCCCAATCAAGGAAGTGACCACAAGAAGTAGTGGCCAGCATGATTGAGAGATTGGTTATATACAGAAGATGAACCATATAAGTCATATATTGTAGATAACTGAACCCCTGTTTCTCACTGGAAGTTACAAATATAAAAAGGATGAAGCTAGAATGGACTCTTTGGTGTGAGATAGAAATTGAAATGTCAATACAAATTCAGTTTTTAATATACAGATGCAGAAATCGTAAGAATAAGTGAGTATGTCATACAATTATTTCCTAATTTTATTTTTAATGAAAGAGCTTGACAACAGTGACACTCAATACAGGGAACACAATTGATACCCAGATTTAGGGTTCTAAATATCATTCTCCACACAAAAAAGAATCAAGAGTCTCTGGAAAACTGCTGATTCCAGGGCTGAAGCAGGGATATCACAAGCGGAGCTGGGACCATCTTACTGTGCCAGAGAGTAAGAAGGTGCTCAGAGAATGATGGGGACATGTTAAAGGGCACAGAAGTTTGAAGGGAATCCCGCTGGCCACATCTGAGACAATCTGGATATCAAAATACATAATACGAAAACACTATGACTCATTTGTTGAATAAAACAAGAATCCATGAGCCCATATTGATAAAAATAAATAATGAATCTATGAATGGAGAGTTTCCTTATAAGAGAATCCCAACTAATGAATGTTGAAGAAACAACAAATTAGAAAGTCACCACTTGACATTCATCTTAGTCACAACTAAGTTAGGCAAGAAACATCAATAAATGCTAAAACTAATGAGTCAAAGAGAAACATAATATTTACATGGTCTCAAATTACCTCCTTAGAAAATAATAACAAAGGACAAAAGAGTACCTCTACAGTGGAGAAAACTAGTAGTCACTACCTTCAGGTGATCAAAGTTAACATCAGTAATAATGGAATAAACCAAAATTGAGTATCAATTCAGAATACAATAAGAACAAAACATCACTTTTGTGACATTGCTGCCAAAAATGTATAACCTACATCTAATCAGGAAGAAACATTAGACAAACTCTAATTATGGGATGCTCTACAAAATAACTGGCATGTAATCTTTAAAAGCATAAAAGCCATAAAAGGAAAGACTATGAAGCCATTCCACATGAAGAGAGTAAAGAGCCCTGACAATCAAATGCACAGATCCTGGGTTAGAATTTTGCAATGAAAGACATTATCGAAAGAATTGGCAAAATCTGAATGGGGTCTGATGATCAGATGGTAGTGATTGATATATCACTATTAATATCTTGCTTTAATAGTTATACTCTTTTTACATAAGAGCATGTCAATGCTACAAAAATGCACCAAAGTAATCAACAGTAAAGGAGCATCTCACTCTCAAATGGTTCATTAGAAAAAGCATTATGTGCTCAGTGCACTGGCTCATGCCTGTAAACCCAGCACTTTGGGAGGCTGAGGCGGGTGGATCACCTGAGGTCAGGACTTCAAGACCAGCCTGGCCAACATGGTGAAACCCCATCTCTACTAAAAATACAAAAATTAGCTGGGCGTGGTATCAGGTGCCTGTAATCCCTGCTACTCAGGAGGCTGAGACAGGAGAATCGCTTGAACCCGGGAGGCGGAGGCTGCAGTGAGCCAAGATCGTGCCACTGCACTCCAGCCCAGGCAGCAAAGAGCGAAACTCCATCTCAGAAAAAAAGATAAAGAAGAAAAAGCATTATTCTTACAACTTTTCTTTAAGTTTGAAATTATTTCAAAATAAAAATAAATGCAATGTCAAAGTTCTTACACTTGCAGTCTCTACTTACTTTTTGATACAGATTTATCTAATTAATACTTTTTTTTTTTTCATATGGAATCTTGCTCTTTCACCCAGGCTGAAGTATAGTGGCGCAATCTCGGCTCACTGCAACCTCCGCCTCTCAGGTTCAAGCGATTCTGGTGCTTCAGCCTCCCGAGTAGCTGGGACTACAGGTACACGCCACCACATCCAGCTAATTTTTTTGTATTTTCAGTAGAGACGGAGTTTCGCCATGTTGGCCAGACTGTTTTCTAACTCCTGACCTCAGGTGATCCACCCGCCTCGGCCTCCCAAAGTGCTGGGATCACGGGCATGAGCCACCACACCCAGCTATCTAATTAACACTTAAAGCTCTTAAATAGGTTATGGTAATAAATTTCATGCATTTGTTATTCACTTGACAAATATTAAGTGCCAGACTCTCTGACAGGCACTGGGAGGATGGTAGACAAAAATCACTGCTTTCACGGAGTTTATATTTCCATGGGGGAGAAAAAAGGTTATATAGTACGAAAAATGCTAGGAGAAAAATATAGCAAAGGAGGGAATATAATACTTTGGGGAAGACTAAAGTAACCAAGGGAAGTCTCATTGAGACGGCAACTTTTAAGGAAAATTAAAACGATGTGAGGAAGCTCGATATAGATACCTGTGGGAAAGAGTTTTCTTGACATAGGGAATAGCAAGGCTTTAAGATGGAAAATGCCTGACATGTTCCAGGAAGACAAAAAAGCTGCAATAAGAGCATGAAGCAGGAAGTAGCAGAAACTGAGATCAGAGAGGTAATGAGGAGCCAGATCATCTAGAGCAGCAGTCCCCAACCTTTCTGGCACCAGGGACCAGTTTCATGGAAGACAATTTTTCCATAGACCTTGGAAGAGGTAGGGGGAGAAGGTGTCGGGCTGAAACTGTTCCACTCAGATCATCAGGCATTAGATTTCATTAGATTCATTAGTTAGAGTTAGTAAGGAGCGTGCAACCTAGATCCCTCGCATGCAGAGTTCACAATAGGGTTCGCACTCCTATGAGAATCTAACCTCGCATCTGATCTGACAGGAGGCGGAGCTTAGGTGGTAATGCTCGCTCACCTCTTGCTGTGTGTCCCAGGTCCTAACAGGTCAGGGACCAGTACTTGTCCACAGGCTGGGGGTTGGGGACACCTCATCTAGAGTCCTATAGATTCCTGAAAGGACTTTCGGCTTTTACTGATATGGGACGCTACAGGAGGTTTCTGAGCAGAAGAGCCAAATCATTCTGACTTAAGTTAAGTAGGATCAGTGGGGCTGCTCCCTGAAAAACAGAATAAAGGGAGGTGGCTCATGCCTGTAATCCCAGCACTTTGGGAGGCCAAGGCAGGAGGATCACTTGGGTCCAGGAGTTCAAGACCAGCCTGGGCAAAATGCCAAAACCTCGTCTCTATAAAAAACTACAAAAATTAGCTGGGCGTGGTGGTGTGCACCAGTAGTCCCAGATACTCAGGAAACTGAGGTGGGAGGAGAGCTTGAGCCCAGGAGGTCGAGGCTGCAGTGAGCTATGATCGGACCACTGCACTGCACTCCAGCCTGAGCAACAGAGTAAAACCCTGTCTCACCAAAAAATAAAATTAAATTAAATTAAATTAAATTAAAAATAAAATAAAATAATACAAGGACAAATTTGATGAGAGAATGTCCATCAAATTTAACTTTTTCATGACAGCCAGTCCTATATCATAAAGTACAATAAAAACTTAGGTGAAAGCTAAATTACTAAATCATATTTTATGCTATACCTTCCCAAAATAACATGATGGGTAATGAATAATATTATGAATTAAAAAGAAAAAAAAAATAAAAATTCAAGGTCTTGTTCCAACATCCAGATTTCTTTTTAAAATGAACTTATTTCTTACATTATTAAAGCAATCTGAAGGTCACATCTTAGTGTAAGTTTAAGAAATGTACTTAAATGAGAACAGTTATTTAATCTTATAACAACTGTAGTAAATGCTTCACAAACCTAGGAAAGAAGAAGGAAAAAGAGGAGATGGTAATACGAAAATCACAAGGCAGGAGAAATTAAAATTAAGAAGGATAAAAGGAAGGTTCTGCTTCTGTAAATATCAGATTGAATAATTCAGATGAATACTCCACTGAGAACAATTTAAAATGTAAGACAAAATTAGGACTCTGATAAGTCAATTGCCACATTAAGCTGAAATCACAAATGGCTGATCGTTAATGTCAATGGGGAACCAAAAAATAAACTAAATCTTGCACAGATCTGCACCCTAGATTCATGTCACCTGAGTGGACCAGGAAACTTTAGGCTTTAAACTTGGGTTAGGCTACTCCTAGATTGCTATCCAAGGCATCCAGCAGATATTAAATGAAGATAACTTTACTCAAGGCTTCATTTTGTCTTTTTAGAGACAGGGTCTCACTCTGTCGCCCAGACAGGAGTACGGTGGTGTGGCCTTTGCCCACTGCAGCCTCAACCTCCTGGGCTCAAGCATCCTCCTATCTCAGCCTCTCAAATAGCTGGGACTACAGGCATGTACCTCTATATCTGGCTTTTTTTTTTTTTTTTTTTTTTGTCATGGAGACAGGATATTGCTATGTTGCCCAGGCTAGTCTTGAACTCCTAGTCTCAAGTGATCCTCCAGCTTCAGCCTCCCAAAGTGCTGGGATTACCATGGGAGCCACCATGCCCAACCCAAGGCTTCATATTTCTACAAATAATTTTCAAATACTATGCCCAGCTAACATATTTAATCTTCATTATTCATGGATTCTGTATTTGCAAATTCACCTACTCACCTAAAATTATTTGTGATAAAAAATCTGGGTGCTTTAGGGGTCATTTGCAGGCATAGAGCAGCAAAAAAATTTGAATAAACTGATGCCCATGTTCTCACATGAGGCTGAACAAGGTGTCACTCAGCCTTCTTCCTTCAGCTCTCCTATTACAAACAATGTCCTTTTCACAGTATTTAGTGCCATGTTTTTCACATTTTTGTGCTTCCTGTTGGTGATTTCAGTTTAATGGCCCTCATGTATAGTGTTGAAGTCTCACCTAGTGTTTCTCAGCAAAAGAAGGCTATGATATGCCTTATGGAGAATAAATGTTTGTTTAAATAAGCTTCATTCAGGCATGAGTTATAGTGTTCATGGCCATGAGTTCAATGTTAATTAATAAATAATATTAAATAAGATGTCCTCAAACAGAAACACACATAAAACCAGGTTATGTAATTGATCAGCTGATGAAGACGTGACCAGAGACTTGCAAGAACCCAGCCCTGTATTTCACCTAGAGCAATGGGTCAGTATCTGTGGCCCCTTTATGTAACATAACTAACATGAATAATAACCAGCACAGCCAGTATTTATAACCAGCATCTAATAAGCCAAGACACCAGAGCAGGGACTTCAAATACTGAAAGTATCAGACACAGAGTGTAAATGAAACAACTACATTTACTCTATGTACAAGAAAACAGAAGCCAAACTTGAAATTTTCCTCAGTGAAATATAAAACTATACAAGAGACATGTCTAATTTGGAAGAGAAACAAATTTTGAGAACTGAAAAATACGATGTCCAAAAATAAAGACTCAATGGACAAGCTAAATATCATAATTTAGACAGAGGAATGCTTATCTTCAGTGAGTAAAAGAAAATAAACCCTGACCTAGAACTGTCTTACTCAGTAAAAACATCCTTTAAAAATATGGAAAAAATGAATGCATTTTCGCACAAATAAAAACTAAAAGACCATCAATGGATAAATGGATAAACAATATGTGGCATATACATACAATGGAACATTACTCAGTCTTAAAAAAAGAAATTTTGACACATGGTACAAAATGGGTGAACCCTAAAGACATTAAGCTAAATGAAATAGGCCAGTCACAAAGGGAAAAATATTGTATGATCCCACTCACATGAGTTACTTTACCCTTAACCATTTAAACACATTAAATGACAACTACAAGCAAAGCCCATAGCACCACGTTGGATATTTAATAAGAAGTAACTGTTAGCTGGGAAGAGATACTATTAACTTAATGATGTTAAATTTTTTAAGGAAAGATGAATGTACTTTAAAAAATATGTACACATTTTAAGAAATATAATAAGTATTTTCTTACTGAAGCAAAAAGGCACAGAATTTTGATTCCTTTATCCTGGAATCTCTCTTGTCTCAACGTTGCACTGTCACTAATCCAAACTGAGTACCTCATAAGAAATTGGGATGCTAGGACAATTTCTAAACGTCAAAATAACACATTTTGGTCAGGATACCTGGCAACTGTAAATGAATAAAAACATCTACAGTTACCCCCAAATTTCTGAAGAATACGTTTAATATCTTCTTAGGAATTCTGAGTGTCTAAGAATTTCTGGCATGTATTTAGTGACTAAATCATGTGAAATGGATACTTAAATTATGTTTATTAAAGTTATCTTTCATTCCTAGAGGGGAAAAATAATCATTTATTCTGTTTAGATTGCTGATCATCTGTTCCTAAATTTATGTCAACAGAAAATACTAAAAATCATAGACAATAAATTTGCTATGTAATATGTTTATTAAATACCCCCTTTGAAACTCCTTTGTAATAATTTGATCAAGCTAACACACATTTTTCAGAAGCAAGGTATTTCAGGAAGAAGAGATAATGTCAAAATTATCTTTTTTATCTGACTGATGTATAATCAATGATCCACCCTCTACAGATGGCTATGAAAGCATCCAAAAACTGTTTCTATGTGACAGAGCGCATCATGCTCCAAACGGACTGTTTTCCGTACTATTAATAAGACTATTAACATACTTTCTCTCAAACCCTTCGTTTCAATCATAAGTCCCACTTCAAGACTCATGAAATAATTTCATAAAATAAACAGGATATGTGAATGGTTAAAACATTGACCTAAGCACATCTGGCAACACAATTTATGCATGGCAAGGTAAAGATCATTGACACTGTATTTAAAATGTAAATCTTCTAATCTCCCAAAATCATGTACTCACTGTTCCAGAAACATTTCTAGAACGAACCAGAGCTTTCAGGATTAGGGCCAAGTATATTATAGTGAATTTTAATGTTGGCTTATGGATCTGATATCTGTCATTTACTTACTTTATGACATAAAGACAGACTTATCTGAGTAGAAAATATTTTAACAACTTATGAAAGCAAAAAATTGATATTTCTAAGTATAATTACTCAACTATGAAATCAAATATCAAATTTTTCTACTGAATGAAAAATTATCCCCTCATTCTCCATTAAGTATTGCCTACTAGCTATACAAAATTGTACGGCTTATTACTCTAATAAAGAAAAACAATATAAAGTTTATTTTACTACTGTTAACTAATAAACTAAAACCAATTTCTAAATCATCATTTTATTCTACTGAAATTCGCATACATTTTTAAAAAGTGAATAAACAGCCTACTCAGTAGAATTTTTGTTTCTCAAGATTCTAATAAGAACTTAGAACAATTTTATCAATTAAAAATGATATAAACTTTACAGCCTCAGAATACATCACACTAAAGTAATTTTCCAATTGGTAAGCTATATTTCAGAGAATCCTGCTGTCTTTAAAATCCTATCATAACTATGTAATAATACAAACTTTATCAATTATATTCAATGAATGAGAAGCTAGTGCTTTACTGTGAATCACTTGGAAGTTCACCTTAATATTTACTTTAGGCTTGAGCTCAAAACCCATTCAGGACAAAAGACTCTACCAGCCCTTCATGGATATCTGTTTATCACTACTGGCTTAAAAGCATGCCAACTGATTGGGGAAAATTTTGCAACAGATTTAAAATAAGGAAGGAGTCACAGAGCAGATGTACACATCAAAATTCTATAGCATACTCAAATTTAAATGAAAACGATTAGAACAATGTCAAAAAAGTTTAGTAAATAAATTTGGGATGTTTGTGTACTTATCAGAACCTCATAACTGCATATAATTTTGTAAGTATATTCAAAATTACAGTTATTACTGACCAGTGTCTTTGAGTAAAAAGCAAAAGAAAGTTATTTGCTTACTAATTTTAGAATTTAAATATCATATTTCCTTTAAGGTTTAAAACTCCTTTTCTGTTTATTTCCATTTCAGACACGAATAGTACTTTTGCTTTAATTTCAAAAGACTTGTAAATGGACAGTCTTCACTTTTTCATCAATCTAATCAGCAGAATACTGAGACTACGAAGTTAACATGAACACCCTCCAGTGGCTGGCTCTGCAGCACAACAGAAACATTTTTACCCTGAACTCGGATTTCACTGCCGATATTTCTGAATGACAGAAAATTTGGGGCTTATACAACAGATTACAATCATATAAATTTTGGTAAAATTCCAAACTTTAAAAATAAAAACATCTAAGTCGCTACTTTATGCCTCTATTTGCAAAATTCTCATGTCAAAATTTTCTCTACCAAGGTGTTAAGATACTATTTTAATAACAGATATAAAAATAATTTTAATTCCCTTTTAATCTGTTGTCATTTGTCATTATTAATATTCAGAAACTGAAATAAAACTCTATAAAGTAAAAGGGGCTGGAAGAAAATTAGTCAAAATGCAAATAATGAATCCTTATGGGAAAAAAATACATTTGTGCCGTGTATCAAAAGTAACATTTTTTAAGTACTCATTCAATAGTAATCTCAGTGAAACACTGTGTACTGAGAGTACAATTCCCTATACATTTGATTTAATCTTAAAAGTATAATACACAAATACGTTGGTAGGAAATAGCTGTATTTTTAAGAAAACTTTCACTAAAATTTATTTCAGTTTCAAAGAGAAGTACCATATTCCTATTAACATTTTAAATATAAATTGTTAAAATCCCGAGTACTGACCTCTATTACAGAAAACAAAATTGGTTTAAAAATACACAGTAACAAAGAATGGTAATAAAATAAATAAAACCAAAAAAGTCTATATTTAACTGGCTGCTCAGTCATTAGAAAGGTGCCCCATAACTACCATATGTTACTCAAATATGTTATCACACCTACAATCTCATCATATGTCTCCCAAGAAATTAATTAGCTCTAACTTTTTCAACTTTGACAAAAACGTCTGCATCAGTCAGATTACTAGCTGTTGCAAACATTTCAAAATTCAAAGCTTTCTCCAGCTTGTATTTAACCTTTTAATTACTATTAATCATTTAGCAACATTTAGAACAGCATTCATTAGACAGATGTCTAATTCTAGAATTCTGAATAATGTAAATTCATTTATACATATATTTACTTTTGGTGCATATTTATTGATGTTAAAAAATAATCCAAAACCACTTATTGATACATCATTTCACGGCTGTGTTTAGGGTAAAGAGAAAAATACCTAAAAGTTTTACTTATTCTAAAAATCTAAAAAGTCCTAAGTATTTGAGATTATATGGCTTACAGTAATACATTTAATGTGTATAAAACTTATTTAAATTTTAAAAAGAAACAAGAGGACTTGTTAATTTTAAAAGCCTTTATAAGTTACCAGCAGTAAAAAGAAATAGAAGTGACTAAGAAGAGAATTTTCATAAATATCTTCCTTACCACCAAACTTTCAAAAGGAAAAGAAAAAAAAATACTACTATTACTGTTTGATTTTGAACCGCAAACCCAGGCAACCCTCAACCATGTAAACCAGCTTCCATCTCCACCACTTTATTTAAACTACCCTGGTAAGGCTACCAATGACTTCCTAAGTATTCATTTCACAAATATTTATTGAGCGAAGAACAAAAATCCCTTCTTATAGAGTTTACATTCTAGCGGGATTGAAAGAGAAAATTAACAGGATAAATAAGTTATATGATGTATTATTAGTAGGAAGTGCTAATGTCTCCTGATTCCCTTGTTAACCAAACAAAAATTAAACAATAAAGTTTGAACTGGCTTCAGTAAAGTCACAGAAAACATTACTAAATTCTCCTTTCAATTATCTCTGCTAACAAAATAATGGATAATCTAAAAATAATCTCTATTTAGTAAGAAATTAGATTTAAGTTACAAAGTTACTCCTCAGGCCGAAGTAAACGTTCAAGTTAATCAGAATGAGGGCAGCCTCAGGAACAGCCAAAAATACCCTGCTGGCAGCTGTCTTCTCTTTGCAGCTACCAAGGTTTTTACCTACTGCCACAGAAAAGGGCACCTGTGAATTATACAATTTTTTGGCTGAAAAGAACCTTAAAGATATCAGGTGTCCTCTACAAAGCTTTTCTTGGCCTGTCCAAAGAGGTTTAAGCATTTCTTCCTCTTTATTTCCAAATTCCATAAAATGCAGGAATTATGTCTTTATTTGTGCCTGTATTCTCAAAACTTATTGTAAGTCTGGCACAGAGTAAGTTTGAGTGAACTTTTAAAAACACTATTTTAGAAAATCAGTCTGGTAGCAAATAGAGCAAAGGCTTAAGGTTTGTAATCACTGTTAAATAATTTGTATTACATATATGTGCACTGCTCTCAACTGGTGAGGAGGGGCATCCATTCATATTCAATAAACATTTACTAAGGCCCTACTGTGTGTAAGACTACCATTACAGAGGGTATCCCAGGGGGAGAAAGAAAATAAAAAAGAAAATTAATAATAATTTTAAATTGCAATTAGTCCTATGATGGAAATGTACAGGGTACTTTAATAGAGAATCTACTGTCTTCATTGGCTTCACAAAGAATTAAGATTACTTTATACACAATGTTCTGCCAGGGAAAGGCAAGACCTTAGGTAGATATTGCAGTAATACAGGTAAAGAGATTAGGAGTTCAATTAACATTTAACAAACATTACAATGTCTCATGTTCTATGGCACAAACATAAACAACCCCCAATCTCCAATCTCAGCCACTCAAGAGCTTGAATTCAAATGAGGAAAAGACACATAAAATATTATCTTGATTGTGGAGAACACATAGACTTTATGGAATCACAGAGATGAACATTTAGGCAACTAGAGTAGTGAAGAAAAGTTTCCTAGAAGAAGAAAATGCCTAGAATAGGCAATAAATGAAAACATAAATAGCATGTATTTTGAAGGAATAATTAACAGTAGAAGATAATAGCACGTGCACAGGGGACTGAAGTAGGTAGAAGATATGAATGTTTCTAGTCTGGTGATTTGTCAGTAGAGGAAAGCTGAAAGGAAATTGATATTAATGAAAAAGAAGATAATCTCAGTTTTTAAAAATCTGAACTTATGATGACAATGGCATACCCATGGGGAAGTTTTTTTCAACTACAACACTAAAGAGAAGTTCTTTGATTTGTTATTTTAATAAGTACCTGGAATTCACTGATACACAAAGAAGATTTGTAGCCATGACAGCAGAAGAGCTAAGAATTTGCAGAGGGCAGAAAAGGCTCAAGAACAGAGTAAGGATGGGTTATAGTCACATTATGTAGGTATCAAAAGAAAGTATGTCAGTAAAAGAGCACAGTCCAATGCAGCAATGAAACAGGAAAGCCAAACATCAGGGAAGCCATGGGAGATGAATGTTTCAATGAGGAGGGGGCAATCAATAAATTAAATGATAGACACACCCAGAAGGCATAACAGAGTTAAGGCCATTGGTTATGATAAAAGGAGATAATCAGTGGCTATAGAGAAGAGTTTTATCATGCCTATGGTTTCGTTGATCATAATTAATCACAAAGATGAGCATAGACTAATATATGAACCACATTCTCATAACCTCAATTTTATTATTTTTATAAACATACCTAATATTTATTAGAATGGATATATAAGCAAATAAAAAACTATATAGAGTATTTCCACTAATAGATAACTTTTTAATTAATACTTCACAAGAAAGAAGTATTTTCAAGTTAAAAAAATACCCAATAGTATATATTTTTTGAAAGATTTGTCATTTAGAGATAAAAAATTTACATATGATACAGTATCTGAGATTTGCTTCAAAATAACCCAGTGGGTAAAGGAGTAAGTGGATATATAGATAAAATAAGATTGGTCATGAGTTGAAAATTTTTGAAGCTGGTGATGATTACATGGGTGCTGATTATACTTGCCTCTACTTTGGTATAAGTCTGAATTTTTTTCTTAATGTCTTATTGCCTACCAGGAAACAGAAATATTTTAATTTTCCCTAATTATATTTACTATTTGCTTACAGGGTTCTGAAACTAATCTCAAACTGTCAAAAGTAATGAAAACGGTAAAATTTCCATAGGATCAAAGCTTAGAAAATTGCCTTATAAAATATATAGAGAGGGGGAAAAAAATAAAGCATAAACAAACTCTAGAATTTAGTTCTGGCTTCAAGAATATTTAAAATTATAAAATGCCATAAACTATAATTTAAAAATATTTAGAATCAAAAAATAAAAAATAAATGCCCTGTTTTCCCCAGAAGCTAGGAGATATACATACATATATATAATATATATATTTTATAACAAATATTATATTGCTATGGTTCTCCATGGATAATTACATTACTTAAGGCAAAAAGTCTTTGACAAAATCTTACATAGTGACACAAGTAGGAGCTTATACCTGTTACAGCTAAAATTGGCTTTCAGCTGTTAATTTTAACTGATATATTCTTACATGTTTCCTCATTTCCATTGCTAACAGTTTTTTCACATGAGTAACTCCAATTCATTTTTCAGGTCTCTGTTGAAATATTACTTATTTCAGGAGTTTGCTGTCAACTTCACACAGTAGGTCAAAATGTCATTCTGTATACTCCTACAGAACCCTTCTCTATCCCTATCAAAAACAGTTCATTTTAGTTAGGTGCCACAACTTTTAAAAAACTGAGATATAGGCCGGGCGTGGTGGCTCACGCCTGTAATCCCAGCACTTTGGGAGGCAGAGGTGGGCAGATCACAGGTCAGGAGTTCGATACTAACCTGACCAACATGGTGAAACTCCATCTCTACTAAAAATACAAAAATGAGCTGGGTGTAGAGGCATGCGCCTGTAATCCCACCTACTCAGGAGGCTGAGGCAGGAGAATCACTTGAACCGAGGAGGCAGAGGTTGCAGTGAGCAAAGATCACGCCTGTGTACTCCAGTCCGGGCAAGACAGTGATCCGCCACAAAAAAAAAAAAAAAAAGAGAGCGATAGTTCACATACCATAAAAATCGCCATTTTAAAGTATACAAGCCATAGTTTTTATTACATTCACAAGGCAGTGCAACTACCACTACTAATTCCAGAACTTTTCATCGCCCCAAATATAAATCCAGAACTCATTAGCAGTCATTCTCCATTCCCTCATCCCCTCATCTCCTGACCATGAAACCACTTTCTGTCCCTAAGGATTTTCCTATTTTGGATATTTCATATTAATGAATCATACAATATGTAGCCTTTTGTGTGTAGTTTTTTTCACTTAGCCGAGCTTTTCAAGGTTATTTCATTTCTTTTCTGTCTGAATAATGCTCCATTTTATGAATAATCATAATTTGCTTATCCACTCTACAGTTGATTGGACATTTGTGGTTTGGGAGGCAATTACGAATACTACTACTACAAACATTCACATACAAGTTTTGTACAACCATATGACTTTGATGCCTTTAGAAATACACCCAGGTGTAGACTGCTGAGACCTACAACTCTATGTTTTAAGTTTTTGAGGAACTGCTGTTTTCCAAAGCAGCTGTACCATTTTACAAACCTACCAGCAGCGTATGGGGATTCCAATTTCTCCATATCCTCACCAACACTGTTTATCATTGTTTACAGACATCCTAATAGGTGAGTTGATATCTCACATGATTTTAATTTGCACTTCTCTGATGGCTAATGACGTTGAGCATCTTTTCATGTATTATTGGCCATTTGATTATCTTCTTTGGAGAAAATATTCATATTGTCTATTCAGATTTCTTAATTGGGTTGTCTTTTCATTGTTGAGATATAAGAATTTTTAATATATTCTGGATACTAGGCCCTTATCAGATTCATGATTTACAAATATTTTCTCCCATACTCTATTCTTTTCACTTTCTTAAAAATTGTTGTTTCCTGAAGACCTTCTCACTTTCTTGACAGCGGCCTTTGACATACAAGTTTTTTATTTTGATGAAGTATACTTTCTTTTTCATTGACTGCTTGTGCTTTTGGTGTCAAATGTAATAAACCATTGCCCAATCCAAAATTACAAAGATTCACCCCTATGTTTTCTTCTAAGAGTTTTAGTTCTTATAATTTAGGTGTTTAATACACATTGCATTAATTTTTACACATGGTGTGAGGTAAGGAGTCCAAATTCATTCTTTTATATGTGGAAATCGGGTTGTCCCATCATCATTTCTTGAAGACTATTCTTCCACACTGAATCGCCTTGCCATCCTTGTTGAATACCAATTAGCCATATATGTATGGTTTAAATTCCGGATTCTCAATTATATTCCATTGATCTACTTCTCTCCTCTATGTCTCTTTTTGACTGCACCTAGCACAGTGCCTGAAGGTGAGAAGCACTCAATAAAGATTTGTGAGTTGAACAGCCAACTCCATCAATAGTAAAATGATAGAATTTCTGGGGTAGGAAAAGCCTTAGAGGGCATTATCCTATCCCATTATTTAATAAACAGGAAAACTGAAACCTAAGAGAGGTTAACTGACTAACTCAAAGAGAACAAATTAATCATAGGTCAAGGTAGGACCTGAATTTCAGTCTCCTAATTCCAATCCAGAGCTCTTGCCATAGTATCATACTTTTTTTCAAGTAAAACTAATTGCTTTAACATCCACCAATGTGCCTGTCTGGGAGAAGCTGCATGTATATGAGAAGACAGAGATAGGCATGTATATGTAAGCTCAATCAGAGTGGAATCCTTTGTATCACCAAAAAGCCTTACAACCAAAATGTGCCAGAAAATAGTATACCACAGAATACAATGTTCCTTTCCAGACAGCTGTTTCTTAACTTCATTTTGTGTTTGAGAGATACCTAGTCACACTTTTAAGCCTGGAGATTATTCTAAATAGAAAAAAAAAAAAAACATTTTTGGGACAGCAAAAATGATCAAATATTCAGGGACCTAGTTCCATTACTCTGTTCTCTTCTACATTTCCCACCACCGTTGTCATTCTTCATTCATTACTGTTTTAAAGACTGTAGAAACAGAGTCTGCCTGCTTCCAAAAGCCAGAGAAATTTAAAAGCTGGAGAGCAGAGAACTAAAGGGAAACAACTGAGAAGCTCTGAGAGAAGTCTTCTAAAAAGATATATGGGGGGAGGAGAATCCACATGATAATGCATGATTTCAGGGAAAAAGGAAGAGGCTAGATGTTCAAGCTAAATACTGCATTCATATGTACATGTGAGGGAAATGCTGTTTGTGCAAATGTTGTATATGTAAAATGTATAAGCAGACCACGAATGTTCTTGTAGTCAAAATATTTAAGCCTCAGTTGAAACTACAACCTCTTCTCTGAATCTTTCCCAGAGTCCCTCAAATGCAGTTAACTATTCCTTTCCTATTGCTCCCACTCTTCCTACTACACACCTCCATTACTATGATTATTAGAGTGTATTCTATTAATTACATCATGTTTGCCTCCCTCCTAAACTACCTTCTCATTGAGGGCACAGACCATGTGTTTTCCATGTTCTATTCTGTGCAGAACCTAACATAGCCCTGGCACATGTAAGTACTTTGTAACTCTTTGTTGAATGGATATTTTAAGACTGCTTATAATACTGAATACATCTATTCTAAAGTGTTGATAACAAGAAATTTGTTAATTCTTGCTGTAATAATTCCAAACATTATTCACACATAACTTGCCAATACTTACTTGCTCTAAGTACAAACTTCAGAGTTAGCTATCTGCAAAAAACAAAACAAAACAAAAACCTAACAATATATTTAGAACTGAATATTGTAGTTGTCAGTCATCTCTGCTAACAAGGCATTTCTATATACTCTTAGCTAAAAATACCACAAAAGGTTCAAGTAAGACTAATCAATGACAAGCAGAATGGTCTCATGTGGTGATTCAAAAAGAAACTGGATGCCATGCTACCTGACTTCAAACTATACTACAAGGCTATAGTAACCAAAACAGCATGGTACTGGTACCAAAACAGAGATACAGACCAATGGAACAGAACAGAGCCCTCAGAAATAATACCACACATCTACAACCATCTGATCTTTGACAAACCTGACAAAAACAAGAAATGGGGAAAGGATTCCCTATTTAACAAATGGTGCTGGGAAAACTAGCTAGCCATATGTAGAAAGCTGAAACTGGATCCATTCCTTACAACTCATACAAAAATTAATTCAAGATGGATTAAAGACTTAAATGTTAGACCTAAAACCATAAAAACCCTAGAAGAAAACCTGGGCAATACCATTCAGGACATAGGCATAGGCAAAGACTTCATGTCTAAAACACCAAAAGCAATGGCAACAAAAGCCAAAATTGACAAATGGGATCTAATTAAACTAAAGAGCTTCTGCACAGCAAAAGAAACTACCATCAGAGTGAACAGGCAACCTACAGAATGGGAGAAAATTTTTGCAATCTACTCATCTGACAAAGGGCTAATATCCAGAATCTACAAAGAACTCAAACAAATTTACAAGAAAAAAACAACCCCATCAAAAAAACAGGCAAAGGATATGAACAGACACTTCTCAAAAGAAGACAGTTACGCAGCCAAAAGACATATGAAAAAATGCTCTTCATCACTGGCCATCAGAGAACTGCAAATCAAAACCACAATGAGATATCATCTCACATCAGTTAGAATGGCGATCATTAAAAAGTCAGGAAACAACAGGTGCTGGAGAGGATGTGGAGAAACAGGAACACTTTTACACTGTTGGTGGCACTGTAAACTGGTTCAACCATTGTGGAAGACAGTGTGGCGATTCCTCAGAGATCTAGAACTAGAAATACCATTTGACCCAGCCATCCCATTACTGGGTATATCCCCAAAGGAATATAAATCATGCTGCTATAAAGACACATGCACACATATGTTTATTGAGGCACTACTCACAATAGCAAAGACTTGGAACCAATCCAAATGTCCAACAATGACAGACTGGATTAAGAAAATGTGGCACATATACACCATGGAATACTATGCAGCCATAAAAAAGGATGAGTTCATGTCCTTTGTAGGGACATGGATGAAGCTGGAAACCATCATTCTCAGCAAACTATCACCAGGACAGAAAACCAAACACCGCATGTTCTCACTCATAGGTGGGAAATGAACAATGAGAACACTTGGACACAGGAAGGGGAACATCACACACCAGGGGCTGTTGTGGGGTGGGGGGAGGGGGGAGGGATAGCATTAGGAGATATATCTAATGTAAATGGCGAGTTAATGGGTGCAGCACACCAACATGGCACATGTATACATATGTAACAAACCTGCACGTTGTGCACATGTACCCTAGAACTTAAAGTATAATAAAAACATATATATATAAAAAATATATATATATATATATAAAACAAAAAGAAACTGAAGAATCATCTCTTTAGAGACATGTAAAGGAATTCTGGAGGGTAATTAAAGATATTGTCATGTTCACCGAGTATGAGTAAAACAGAAGAGTAAAATGACTATGAAATACTGGCTTGGTGGTAAAAGTAGACGCTTTGAAATCTGAAATCCTGATTTTAATGATTTACCTCCACTGTGACCTCTTTAGGAAGGTCACTTCATCTTTCTATGCCTCTTTCAGTTTATCTCTTATAAAACTTGAATAAGCTGTAGTCCCAGCTACTGGGGAGGGAGAGGTGGGAAGATAGCTTGAGCCCAGGAGTTCCAGGCTGCAGTGAGCCATGACCACACCTGTGAATAGTGACTGTGCCCCAGCCTGGGCAACACAGTGAGACCCCATCGCCCCCCACAAAAAAAAGTTTTATAAAATGAGAATAAGAATGTCATACTCACAAGCTCATTGTGAGAATCAAATTATACTGTGTATGACCTAGCACAGACACCCAGACACTAGCATATAAGCATTTAACAATGTTAATTTCCTTCCCAACTGACAACAGGTTGTAAATTAAGGAGCAGACTCAAAAAGTTCTCTTCTCTATAAATATCTCCCCTAACAGACGTCAATGTTTGAATTTTACCATAAGAAAATTCTGTTTGGACTTTCAAGAGTCCCAATTAAATGTGAAACAATCCATCAATACTCTAGTGTGTTTATTCATCATTTTTAAGATAACTTAACAAAGCCTACAGGTCTTGGAGATCTCTTTTGAACAGAGTGAACAGAGAAGGATCTATGGATGGTGACCATTACATGAGGAGTGTGAAAGAGCAAGAAAAAAAAGGTCACAAAAGGGTCCTAGAGACAAACTTTTCCTACTTTGTAGTATTTCTTACTATTAGTCCCATCTAACAGAATAAGCTCTACATAAATTCATTGAAAATTCATAAATTCATTAGTAAACCAGTATATCAATTTAAGTTTATTTTTTACACTGTGAAATATAAACACCTGCCATAGTTCTACATACTACAAACTTTTCCCTTTTCCACATAGTTCCACATTTGCAGGCTCCACTCCTTTCACAAGAATTTTTCCTGTGTTTATACCATTGCTACAATACTGCTTTGTGTATAAAATCACAGCTTTGAGTTAATGTCTATAAAATTGATCTTGGGCACAGATCATTTTTCTTGTGAAAAGGTTTGTCACCTGATGGTTATTTTATGTTCATGTTAATCAGAGACTGTCTCTCTATAATTGTTTGTATTTTTTCTCTCAAGTTTGATTTCTGTGGTTCCAGAAGCATACCTGCCTTCTTATCACAAGTAAAATAGTATTTATTAAGAGTTGAAATTTTTGTTGTTTAAAAAAAAGAAAAGCCCCAAACCACAATTTAAGGATATCTTTTTAACCACTACAGCCAAAGAAAAGATCTACTTAGGATATACTATTTGCTCTATGCTTTCCCAAACTGTCAACTGCATGTATTTTGGTAACATCCTAGTACATACAGATGGCATGATAGCTCTGCCATATAAATTATTAATAAAATTCACATAAGGAAAAAACTCAAAACCATTACATTGTATTTACAGATTTCACCAAGACAATGTAATGTCCAAATTTCACATTGTATTCCAATTATTATTATTATTGAGACAGGGTCTTGCTCTGTCACCCAGGCTGGAATGCATTGGTGCAAATATGGCTTTCTGCAGCCTCGACCTCCCAGGCTCAATGGATCCTCCCACCTCAGCCACCTGAGTAGCTAGGACTACAGGTGTGTGCCACCACGCCTAGCTAATTTTTGTATTTTTTGTAAAGACGAGGTTTCGTCATGTTCCCCAGTATGGTCTCACACTTCTGAACTCAAGCAATCCTCCTGCCTCAAATTCCCAGAGTGTTGGCATTACAGGCGTGAGCTACCGCACCCGTCCTTGTTCCTATTATTTGTTTGTTTGTTTGTTTGTTTTGAGACAGAGTCTCACACTGTCTCCTGGGCTGGAATGCAATGGCTCAATCTCGGCTCACTGCAAGCTCTGCCTCCTGGGTTCACACCATGCTCCTGCCTCAGCCACCCAAGTAGCTGGGACTACAGGCACCTGCCACCACGCCCAGCTAATTTTTTGTATTTTTAGTAGAGATGGGGTTTTACCTTATTAGCCAGGATGGTCTCAATCTCCTGACCTTGTGATCTGCCCACCTCGGCCTCCCAAAGGGCTGGGATTACGGGCATGAGCCACTGCGCCCGGCCAGTTCTAACCCAAATTCTAAGTCACTCACCCACCGGCCATCTTATGAATCCTGTGTCTCCTCCCCACCTGTGGGATCCACCAAAGAGGACTCCATAAAGCAAATGTGGAGACAATGACTACCAAAAACGAAAGAATAGGAATTCTTAACAGCTCCAGAAAGGCTAACAAAATCAGTCCTGGACTCATTAACTTAGAGAAGAAAAAGTCTAAATCCAAAGGCTAGAGAACAGAAACTGATTATACTCTAATTTTAAAATACCAAAATATATTTAAGATCCATAATGTTTAATACAGAACTTTACAAAATCCAGCAAAATAAATTTAGTATTATTTATAGACATAAAAATGGTACTTCTGCTTTCCCAGGCTCACTGAAAAACCCGATCTATCAATTAAATCAGAGAAAAGAAAATAAAAAATAAAGATTTGAATAAAAACAAATTAAAGGACTGCATTTTAAAGGCCACATAGATATAAAGAACACTAAAGCATCTCTTTTCTTCTATTTACAGCATACTGAGGATTCATCCATAAACCTGAGGTTGACAACCATCTTCTTCTCTACTGATACAGTGAAGGAAGCATCTCTCCACAGCATGCCTACAACTGTCTCTTTCTTCCTACATTGCCCTTCTTAATGAATGTTATCACATACTTTCCATCAATGAAGAGCAAAATCACCAAATTAGTTCTAATTTTTCTCCACTAGCCCATATGCGAAATTTTAGGCCAAGTCAAAATGATGATGATGATGACAGGTTAAATAAGACATTTTTTATGTTAGAGGCACACTGCTGCATGCTTTCCATAAATTAATTAATCCTGCTTGTCTCCACTAAAGACTGTAACAAAATCCGTATGTTGAAACGCTAACCCCCTAGTGTGATATTTGAAATGAGGCCTTTGGGAAAAGATTAGAGTTAGATGAAGTTCAGGAGGGTGGGGCCCTCACCCTCATAAGAGTAGTGCCCTTATCAGAAGAGACCCAAAAGAGCTTGCTCACTCTCCATTATGTGAGGCACAGCAAGAAGCCAGAAAGAGAGCCCTCACCAGAACCCCATCATGCTGGCACCTTATCTCAAACATCCAGCCTCCAGAACTGTGAGAAAACACCTAGACTATGAAATTTTGTTATGGCAGCTTGAACAGACTAATTCAGATGGAAACTATTATTTCCCCCATTTTACAGAAGAAAAAATTATAGCTTACACAGACTAAATAACCTCCCTACAGTGGATCCAAGAGATAGTGATAGGGCCAGAATTTAAACTCAACTTTTAACCAGTACTGTTCCGCTGATGTCTCTGATATGTCTGAGTGCCTAAATGTATCATGAGTTGTGCTAAGTGCAATAAAAAAAGATAAGGTGCCCTTAAGGAATTCGTATATCTAATAATAATCAAGTAGTATAGTCAAACACATGAACTGACAAAGAATGACTTCCTTGAGGTCTGGCACCTAAGAAATGTTTGGTGAAATAAACAGAAAACCATCAGACAGTAATACAATGTAATAAGTGTTACCCGAGTGGGTTAAATAAAGTAAAACAAGGGTTTCCAGGAGGAAGCAATTGTGGTTGTGATTAAGGCAAACACTTTAACAGCAGTCCTCAACCTTTTTGGCACCAGGGACCGGCTTCATGGAAGACAATTTTTCCATGGGATTGGGGGGAGACGGGGGCGGTGGGGAGTGAAGATGGTTTGGGGATGATGCAAGTGCATTACATTTATCATTAAATTCTCATAAGGAGAGTGCAACCTAGATCTGTCACGTGCACAGTTCACAATAGGGTTTGCATCCCTATGAGAATCTAACACCACAGCTAATCTGACAAGAGGTGGAGCTCAGGTGGTAATGCACACCTCCTGCCGTGTGGCCTGGCAGGGGGCAGTCCTAACAGGCCATGGACTGGTACTGGTCCACAGCATGGGTGTTGGGGACCCCTGCACTGTAAAACAGGTAGGGTATGAGAAAAATTGTAACAGAAATAAATACAATGCAGTCAAAACAGGATACAGTTATTAATAACATTTGGAAGGAATTTATCAGGGATCACTAGTGGAAGTAACATATAAGTTGTCTTTCTTATGACAACTTGAGATGAATAGAATCACACTGCTTGAATGAGACATAATTCTAGGTTGAAGGGACTATCTGGTCAAAAACATGGGATTTGGAAATGTGGCTGGCTGTTCCTTTTTTGATCCCATATTCAACACTGTACTTTATAATATAAAATATATTAACAGGTGCCCCATCTCTCATCTTTTTTGGAAGACATTACACAAAGCATAAAATCATCCTGAAAGTACAGATACTGATTCCTCGTTCAAAAGCATTAAAGAATCCTACTTCACCCACAAGATAATATTCAAATTCAAATTCCTTAGACTGGAATGTTAGACCTCTCACAATCTGTCCCTGTTTTTCCTTTTCTCCCTGACTCACCTTGAGGCATGTATCCTTTATACTGAAGCTACCCCTACATTATCTGGGGCTCCTAAATAGGCCCTGTTAGAATGTTTCCATCTGGACTCTGGGACCATCTTTAAGATTCATTTCAAAGACTGGCTTCCTTTAAAAGTATGACCTTGCCTATTACCTCACTTAGTACACTCTCTCTTATGTTAGTTGCATTCCTGCATGTCTCCATTAAAGACTATAAGCTGTTTGAGGCAGGGCAACTACCCTGCAGAAAAAGACATCAAATAACATACATTAATGCTTTTCTACTGGGAATACAGTGAAAAAAATACACTAAAGCAAATCTTTGGTTATCTGTGTCTAAGTACAATAAAAAAGCTAATGATTACAATGCAATATAAGAGCAATAATAGACAATTATACAGAGTATTATGACTGAATCACTCAACTAAGCCTTGCAAAGGTTGAGGCCAGCTTCCCAGAGAAGATGACACAAACTGATTCTTAAAAGATATGAAGAAGATACAGGTAAAGCATACACAAATATAAAACAGTACCACATGTGGAGAACTACTACCAGAAATTCAGTGTCACTAGAATGTAAAGGATGAAGCTGGAAGTTGCAGAGTATCATCCTATAGAGACAGACAAAAGGCTTTCCATACTGTGTTAAGAATACTGTGCTGTAGGCCAATGGTTTAGAGGTACAAAGTATAAGTGTGTGCTGTGTCAAAACTAGGTTTAAGTTATACTGGAAATCATTTTTTAAAACTGAATTAAACAGATTGTACATGTGTATGTCAAAAATCAAACGTTAAAAAGGTATACAGTAAAAAGTCTCATCACACCCATCCATCTGCCTGTTTAACCCTGCTTTCTGGATAAAATATTAGTTGTTTTTCATTCCAGAGTTTATGACAATATAAGCAAATACAACTATAACATCTTATCTCCTCTCCTTTACATAAATTGAGGTTTTTCCATGATTTTCCATATAAATACTATTCTTCCGATTCTTTTTTTTTTCTTGTCACTGAATGGACCTCATCCTACCATTCTTTTTCGACTATGTAATATTCCATTGTATTGCTGTACCATGATTTACTTAGCCAATTTCCTATTAATGGACATTTGGGCTTTTCCCTACTCTGATGCTGTATGTTGTCTTGGCATATATGAAGAAAATCCAGCCTCATGCAGATATGAATAGAAAAAGGGAGAAAAATGTTAACAAACTTTTTGGATTACTGTTGATACTATTCAAATCGTTTGCTGTTACACACAATAGTTGTAGGAATCACCTTGTATATATCACATAACAAACATTCCTAAGTTTACCTATAGGATCCACTTCCAGAAACGAGAAGATACATTTGTAAGTTTGATATATATTGTCAAACCGTCTCTAAAGTTTGTAGGGACTCCTACAGTGTAGATTCTCCTCCAGCAATACCTGAGCAGTGACAATGCCTGGTTTTCCAGAGCAAAAAGAGAATCCTAGGGAACTCTACCCTTTAAAAATCTCATCCAGGAAGAATTCAAAAGAAGAATGAGAAGAACATTCAAACAGATCAAAAAGAAACAGGAGATCATAAGGTTCCAGGGGACAAGCAAGAGTGGTTTCTCACTAGTGTCAAATACACAGAAATATTTAATAAGATAAATAATTAACCAAAATACAAAACCTAAATGATTAAAACAGTACGGTATTCATGCAAAAATAGAATGGATCAGGACAGGATAAGGAAAAGAAAAATACTGCATGAAGAACAAAGGTAAATAAAAGAATTAAAAATAAAGGAAAGTTAATACTATTTTCCACTAAGAAGAACCAGAGCTCCCTAGAGAGCTGCTTCTAGAGGTAGGAAAGTATATGACGAGACTGGAATATCTTGTTGTCCCAGCAAGTCCTCAAAAATTGATGGAGACATGTCAAAAGAATTTAAAAGCCGGCCTGAAAGTGCTTTCATGGGCCCAATCTAGAATCATTTAAGCATTTCAAAATAAATGATGATAGTAAAAGATTATAACCCATTGAGTAAGACAGAATTCACGAGGGAGAAAGAAATTTCCTCCTTATAGTAAAAAGCCAACTAAAATGAAAAAGGAATGTCAGAATTAGAAAACTACCATAAATCATTAATAATGTATTCAAGTAAGAACCCTAAATGGATGCCAAAATTGGTGGGCCAAAGTTTGAGGAGCAACCAGATATTCACATAATCTCAAAGAATCATACGACAAGATTCCTATTAATTATAAAGAAGGAAAAATAACTTTATAATGAAGAAGAAAGTTGGTAAACACTACTGTAACCAGGTGATCAAAATTAACATTACTAGGACTAGGACAAATCAATATGATGTGCCTCCTGATTAAAGATTATTAGAAAGACATGGCAATTGAATTCAACATATGATTCAAGATTATTTTTTGTAGAATGAGAGCTATAAAGGCAATTATTGGCAATATCTGCATAACCATATTATATCAATGTTAATTTCTTGATTTTGGTAACTATAATTATGTAGGATACCACTTTTGTTTCAGGAAACATGCACTTAAGTATATAAGACTAAAGGAGGCATCATGTCTCAAATTTACCCTAAAATGGTTCAGGAAAAAATTCTATATATTTGAACATAAATATATTTAAGTATTTAAAAATATGTTTAAAATCTATATAAATATATTTAAAATATATACAGAAGGGGAGAAAGAGAGGGAACAGAGGGAAGAAAGGAAGAAGAGGAAAAAAGAAAGATAATACAACTATGGAAAAATGTTAAAATTTGAGTAATGAGCATATAAACTTTGTAATTGTTCTAACTTTTATACAGGGCTGAATTATGTCAAGATAAAATTTTCAGTAGATCTGGAATTATAACCTAGATTGATTCTAACTCCAATTTGCATTCAAATATTCCTTTGAATGAATCCTTCCACTGAGTGAAAAATTTTAAGAACACAATTGTTCCTTTCTATAGATTACTACTGTTTAAAAAAATAAGTAAATAAACTTATGCCTAGGGAAAAAAACAAACACTAAGAGGAATTACACCAAAAATGTTTTAAATTTGTTTTAATTGCAAAGTAGGGCATAATTCTTTTTAAAAAATCCAAATAATACAGTTAAAGTCTCTTCTATGGCATACTCCTACACTCTTGGTAACTACTGTTAATAGAGCTATACAGCCTTCTAAAATTTTTTTCTATGGAAAAAATTATGTATATATAATTTTCTTTATAAACATGATACCACATATATAAACCCTTGTTTTACTTTACATTTTTAAAGTTAACCGTAGACATTCTTTCATGTTAGCACATAATCTTTTTTTAATGGTTGGTTAGAATTCCATAGTACGAATGAATGCATTTGTCCATTCATCTTTTGGTGAGTACTTAAGACTGTCTCCAACTTTTTTCATTTCATATACAATGCTGTAAAAATGGGGAAGCGTTGGTTCATTTTGTTTTACTTCACATTTTCCTCCTCTTTTTATTTGTTCTTAGCCATTTGTACTTCCCTCCTCTGTCGAATGCCTCTTCACATTCTTTGTCCTTTCTTCTATTGGGTCATTTATCTTTTTCTTAATGATTTATAGAAACACATTGTATAAGAATATTAACCCTATTTTTTACCCAGTATATACCTTTTGTTGCAGAGATGATTTCACTTTTACAATATCAAATCTTTATGGATTCCTAATGCCACAATAATGTTGATGTTTGAGTGACAGACCTATGGATTTTTTTAACAGTTTTTTAAATGTATCTAATACCTTTAGTAAGTATCTATTACTTTTTAAGTTAAAAAGGTCATATTTTTATATTCCTTAAAATAAGCAAAATTCCAACAAGATTTTTGATGAAACCTGGAAAACTATTCTAAAATTCACATGGATTGATGGATTTATTTAATCATTCCTTTTTGAGACAGGGTCTTGCTCAGTCACCCAGGCTGCTGCACAGTGGCACAATCACAGCTCACTGCAGCCTCGACCTTCTGAGCCCAAGCAATCCTCCTACCTCAGCCTTCTGAGCAGCTGGGACTACAAGTGCACACCATCATGCCCAGCTAACTTTTGTATTTTTTGTAGAAGTGGAGTCTTGCTATGTTGTTCAGCCTGGTCTCAAATTCCTGGGCTAAGTGATCTGCCCACCTTAGCCTCTCAAGGTGCTGGGATTACAGGTGTGAGCCACTACACCCAGCCAACTAGTCTCTCTTAATGGCCCTTTGGAGACAAGAGAACCAAGCCAAACATGAAGAACAAAAAGGGGAGACTTGCCTAAGAGAGATCAAAACTTGTAAAGCGGTATTGGCCTAAGAATAGAAAAATAGGCTACAGGAAAACATCTTAAGTCTGCTTGGGCAACTGTAACAAAAATACCATAAAGTAGGGAGCTTATAAACATAGGAAACAACTTATTTATTTCTCATAGTTCTGGAGGCTGGAAGTCCAAGTACAAGGCACCAGCAAATTCAATGTTTGGGAAGGGCCCATTCTTCATAGATGGCACCCTTCTTGTTGTGTCCTCATACAGAAGAAGAAGCTAACTACTTCACTGGGGTACCTTCTTGCCCCCATTTATGCAGGCAGAGCCCTCATGACCTAATCACCTCACCCAAAGCCCCTTTTCTTAACACTATCATATCCGGGATTAGGTTTCGACATAGGAATTTGGGGAGGTAGGGAAGGACAAACATTCAGATCATAGCAGAGAAGTACAGAGAACCCAGAAGCAAACCCATATATAAATGGAACAATGCTGATGAATTATTTAACAAATGGAACTGGGACGATTAGCGTATCTTTGAAAGAATAAAAGATTAGATTCCTTTAACACCATACACAATACACGTATGGGCACTCACGCATGCACACATACACACCCCATTCTGGGTGGATTAAAGAAGCAGTAAATGTGAAAGAACTTTAGGTATTTTATAAGGAAATATATGAGACTCTGGTAGCTACCCTCCAAGATGGCTTCTAATGATCCTCACACCCTGGTATTCAAGCCTGTGATATTGTAATATTACAAGAAATATGTATTTTTATCTTCCTCCCAAGCTCCTGGGTCCCTAGCACAGAGCTCCTAAAGCTCTTCCCGCTTCCTGAGTAATAGGAGTGATAAAGCATCTTTTATTATAAATTTGGTCTCAATCCCCAGTTCCTAAAACAAGAGCTTCTAAGAATTTCTGGAGTGACAAGAGTGTCCTTTGTATATTAATGAAGTGAACTGGTGAGTGGGGTCCCTAGATCGGTTCAGGATAATGGCCAGTGACTAGAAAGACTAAATAAAGCATGATTAGAGGGTTAGAACTTTCAGCTTCACCTCACCCTCAACCTCTGGGAAGGAAAGAGGAGCTAGAAATGGAGTTGATCATCGATGGCCAATGATTTGATTAATTATGTCTACACATAAAAGCCAAAACCATGGGGCTTGAAGAACTTCTGGGTTAGTGATGGCATCCATGTGCCAGCAGGGTGGCATACCCTAACTCCACAGGACAGAAGCTTCTGTGCTCAGGCCCCTTCTGTACCTCACCCTATATCTTCATCTGGACTAGGTATAACTCTGGGTAAGTAGGGAAAAATGAGGAGTAAGATGAGAGAAGAATGCATAAACTTCAGTTAATTAAGGTGAATTTTTAAAAAAAAATTTAAAAATTTGTAAATGAAAAGTTAACTTAAAAAATTTTTAATTCTTAAAAAAAATCTGGTGAAAAAGTACGACAAAGCTAGGACATGGGTACTTTAGTGCTCACTTTATTCTTCTCTATAGTCTTCTGACTGCTTGAATAGTCTATAACAAAATATGTTTAACCAAAATGAATGGTAAATAATAACTTAGTCAACATTTTCAGCAGAAAAGATCAAACGAGTTTATACAATTGATAATAGAAAGCAGTACCATACACAAACACAAAATTAACAATAAGAAATTATGCTAGTATTATAAATAAACCCATGGGAAAATGTACAAATTCCAGCTTTTTAGTAATTTTTCATCCAAAAAATACCTGTTGAATGCTAATAAGTCCAGCCATTATTCTAGACTCTGGGAAGACAGCAGTGAACAATACAGCTCTCATATTAATACACTGAACTTATATTCTAAAAGGCAGAGACAGCCAACAAAAATATAAACAAATAAAAAAGATGCTGATAAATGCTATGAAAACAAAATGGATGACGTGACAGAGATGAGGGAGGGAGAAAAGATACTTTAGATTGGGTGTTCTAAGACTCTCTGAGAAGACACCCGTCCTGAGAAGTACATAATGAAAAATCCTTCAAAAAGCTAAGGAAAGAGGAGACCAGGCAAGTGCAGAAATCCTGACATGAGAACAAACATAATCCATTTGAGGAACAGAAAGATGAAAGTGCCTAGACTGCAGGGAATGAGGGGGTGAGTATGAGACAAGATTAAAAAGGCAGACAAGGAAACCCAGGGGTCAATCCAGGTTTTAACGGAATTTTAAAGCTTATAAAATTGGGGGAACAGCCCTCTTCAAAAAAAAAAAGGAACATAAAACTATAAAAACAAATTTAGGTCCTAAATTGAATATTTATTCAGAATAAGAAAGGAAACGACATCAAATTACAAATTTTTAGAAACTGCCAATCACATAAAAAAGTACTAAATTAGAGTCTGGCCCCTCCGAGTTCTGGCACCAGGCAAGCTCACATCCACAGCCGGTGCACCAGCATCTCCCTCATGCCGGGTGATACTGCCAGGTCTCCAGGCACCACAATCTCCCTCACGCTGGACACTGCTCTCTGGGCACCACCATAGCCCTCATGCTGCACATGCTCTTGGTCCACGCACAGTAGCCACAGCCAGCAGGGCTGGCCTTCACGGCCTCCTGTGCTCCCCCTCCCACCCCTAGGCTGGAGTGCAGTGGCACAATCATAGCTCACTGCAGCCACAAAGGCCTGGGCTCAAGGGATCCTCCTACCTCAGCCTCCCGAGTAGCTGGGACTACAGGAGTGCACCACCACGCCTAGCTATTTTTTATTATTATTTCTGTAGAGACACAGTCTCACGATATTGCCCAGGCTGGATTTCAACTCCCGGCTTAAGTGATCCTCCTGCCTCAGCCTCCCCCGTAGCTGGGATTACAGGTACAAGCCACTGTCCAACTCAATTTTTTTTTTTTTTTTTTTGAGATGGAGTCTTGCTTTGTCGCCCAGGCTGGAGTGCAGTGGTGCAATCTCGGCTCACTGCAAGCTCCGCCTCCTGGGTTCACACCATTCTCCTGCCTCAGCCGCAGGTGTGAGTAGCTGGGACTACAGGCGCCAGCCACCATGCCCAGCTAATTTTTTTTTTTTTTTTGTATTTTTAGTAGACACGGGGTTTCACCGTGTTAGTCAGGATGGTCTCGATCTCCTGACCTTGCGATCTGCCCGCCTCGGCCTCCCAAAGTGTTGGGATTACAGGCGTGAGCCACCGTGCCCAGCCCCACCTCAATTTTATAATATAATTTTCTACACAGAGAACACAGAAAATAGTTGTCTTTTGTTTACAATAGAGAATCAACGTTTTTTTTTTACTACTTATAGTTTAGAACTAAAGTTTCAGCTTCACAACTATTGGTGATGCTATGTAAATGTCTCAAATTACTGAATTTGTGAAAACCTCTCATGTTTCTTTCACATGTGAGTTACAAGAAGATTATTTTTAAAAACTTGCAAAAAGTCAATCTTGGTTTCTCGTCCATTACCCACAGTCTTCCAGTGTTGGCTAGATGTGTCGTAGGATGCGTTCATATTGCTATGCAAACCTTCGGCCAAGCACCCTATAACCATGCCAGCTGCACTGCCAGAGTGCACAGCCATCAAATTCCTGGAAGGTATTCTTACATGGAGTCAGCTAGCAACAGCTAAACTTTAAAATGACTGCAGGTCACAGAAACATATCCCACTCATCTTCTCCTTAGGACTCCAGAACTGCTTTTGTCCATCCCAACACAGCCTGAAAGGATAGGGTGTGTGACAGGAAAGAAGACAAAGTGGAAAAGTACAGTGGCCTTAACCAATTTAGTCCAGCTTCAGAAAGATACTCTGCAAGTGAGAAAGGCCTATGCTTTATGAGCTTCAAGGTAAATACCTCTGTCCAGATCATTCTGAGCCTTAAAGATCATCAAGAACAGTTAGGATTTTTTCTTCTTCATGAGACAAGAAACCAGTGGAGGGTTTTAATCAAGGGATCTGAACTATGTTTTGTTAACAAAAACACAAGGGAAATGCACTGACCTAAGGTTATCCTCTAACCCTGATCAAAAAGAGGTATTCAAGCACAAAGCAGAACAAAGTTATGCTTCCATCTCCTGAAAATCTGTGTTTCCTCTTTTTCCTTATCTCTGGATTATAGATATACACAAATCCAGTCATCCCATAATTTTCCCAAAGACTTCTAATTGAAAATAGAAGTAAAAATTTCTCAACCTACAAGTTTGTAAAAAAAGAATAGCAGTCTTTAAAAGCAGGATAGTCAGTTATTTAAGTGTTGTTCTACAGCTATTTTAGGAATGGTGGTATTGTTGTTCCTAGCTGTGCAGCCCCAATCTTAATAGCCTGGCCTTTCCATCAGCTCAAGAAACCACAAATATCTTCAATTAATTCTGTTTATACTTAAATTAGCAAAAGTTAACTAGTAAGTTCATTTCTACTAACAATTAAGAGCTCTGAATCCAACAAATAAGTATGTAATAAGCAAATAAAAGTAAACCAGTCAATCATGAAACTTGAAGTTATTAAAAGCACGGGGTGGGGGGGTGCGCGGTGGAGATGGTAAAAATGATTAGAAGCTGTTGAACCAGAAATGCTGGAGGGTGATGGCATTCCTCAGCCCTTCCTACTCACCCACAGGTCTCTTGTTCTGCCCTTCCATCCATGTTTGGGGAGAAGGGTCAAGAGAGAAGCACACAGTAGCTTCTCACTACATAAAGTCAGCTCTGCTACTGACATGCTAAAAAAGCTGTGAAGAAAAGGAAATTAAAGAAGGCAAAAAAAAGAAGAGGCCCATGTAAGAACTGACCTGAGAACACAGTGTGTATTCTAACAAGCACAGAAGAGCATAATACAGATACAAAGTTTAAAATGTAGGAGTGGGAAACACAGAATAAAAGGACTGTAGGATTAGGTTAATCTAGAAAACCTTGGTCCCAGAGTGGTTGGTGTGGAATAACTGCCAGTCATCATCTCATCCATAAGTAAGATCTTTGTAGCTAAATCATAAAGGCAACGACAAAGTGAATTTACATTTTTCAAATCCAATTACACACGTGAAACTTTAACCTAGTAAGACAACATTTCAATGAGAAGCTAAAACAATTGTAAAAATTTTGATCTAGAAAAATATCTGATAAAGGTAAAAATAAATGTTACCCATGCACATTTTTTTAAATTAACTAGATCTACAAGGCTTGTTATGAAAAACTAGTCCCAGCTCCCTCTCCAATATTTCCTTTTCCCAAAAGCTTTCTTTATTCAGTGACTGCCAGTTGAGGAAATTTGAGATATAGCTGTTTCCTGGTCCTGGCATCCTCCACACTTCCCACCCCCGATGTCTCAACACAATCCTAACTTTGGTTAGATCAATATTTGAGGCTTATGTCATTATAACTACATAGGGTATTCAGAGCTGAACCAAGCAGTAAACAATAATTACTTTTCTTTTCCTGCATAACATTTTGTTTCCCTTGCAATTAATAATTTGTTTCTCATTTCTTTAGTTTTCTACATACTTATCTACTATATATTTATCCCAATTCACCCCAGACTCTCCAGTCTGACAAAGCTCCTTTGAGTATACCAATTTGCCTCAGGTTTCTATGAATTTCATCTTCTGGAAGAAGTCTCTCCCTGTCTTCAGACTTGCTACCATCTGGACTGAGGAACCTAGGCCAGGTACACAGCTACTGTCCTAGGTGTTCCTCCCACTCCTCTCCTACATTAATCTTCTTCCTAAAAACACCACTGCCACTCTCTTCCCCACCTCCATTCCCCTCAGATCCCACCACAGAAGTTTCATGAGAAAAAAAATAGTGTGTCGACAAAGCTTGGAAAACCTTGCAACATACAGTCGCTTTCTGGAATTCCCTAATGTATGCATTTGAGAACCCTATTCTAAAAAAAAACTTTCAATTTTGATTAATCCAGGTATCTCTGAAACTTAATCAGAGACAATAATCTATTTTTGAGGAATACCTACCTGCTAATGATGTACACTTTGGGAAATGGTACATGGATGGTAAGCTACTTGAAGGCAGGGAATATAGCTTATTATACTTTGCAAACTCATGACATCTAACATGGAACAAAACATAGGAAAAAAACATGCTGAAACAAACACAGGTTTATATAATAGTAGATGTCATGTATCTTGGTCATATTCTAAAAGCTATTCCGAAATACCAATGATCATCCTAGGTATATTATAACAACTCTATATACATTTCATAGAATTTCCACTATAAATTCATTATGTGTGAGTGCAGCTATCCCTGGGTATTCGTGGGGGGGACTGATTCCGGGACCCACTAAGGATACTAAAATCCACAGATATTCAAGTCTCTTATATCAAATGGTATAGTATTTGCATATAACCTACACACATTATCCTGTATACAGGCATACCTCGAGACATTGCACGTTCTGTTCCAGACCACCACAATAAAGTGAGTAACACAAATTTTTTGGATTCCCAGTTCATATGACAGTTATGTTTACACTATACTATAGTCTTCTGTGTAACAGCATTATGATTTTAAAATGCACATACCTTAATTAAGGATCATCTGAGCCTTCAGCAAGTCATAAACTTTTTGCTGGTAGAAGGTCTTGCCTTGATGGCTGCTGACTGATTGGGGTGGCAGTTGCTGAAGGTTAGAGTGGCTGTGGCAATTTCTTAAAATGAGACAATAAAGTTTGCCACATCAATTGACTCTTCCTTATGAAATATATCTCTGTAACGTGTCATACTATTTATCCACAGTAAAACTTTCTTCAAAATTTGAGTTAATCCTCTCACATCATGCCATTGCTGTATCAATTAAGTTTATGTAATATTCTAAATCCTTTTGTTGTCATTTCAACAATGTTCACAGCATCTTCTCAAGGAGTAGAATCCATCTCAAGAAACCACCTACTTTGCTCATCCATAAGAAGCAATGCCTGGCCAGGGGTGGTAGCTCACACCTGTATTCCCAGCACTCTGGGAGGCCAAAGCAGGAGGATCGCCTGAAGCGAGGAGTTCGAAAACAGCCTGGGCAAGAAAGCAAGACCCTGTCTGTACAAAAGATAATTTTTTTAAAAAATTAGCCAGGCACAGTGGTGTGTGACTGTGGTCCTAGCTACTTAGAAGGCTGAGAAGGGAGGATCGCTTTAGCCAGGGAGTTCAAGGCTGCAGTGAGCTAGGATCGTGCCACTGTATTCTGCTCCAGCCTAACAGAATGAGACTTTGTCTTTAAAAAAATCTTTTTAATAAACAGATAAAAAACAGCAACTCCTCATCCATTAATGTTTTATCATAATACTGCAACAATTCAGTTCCATCTTCAGGCTCCACTGCTAATTCTAGTTCTCTTGCTATTTCTACCACATCTGCAGTTACTTTCTTCTTTGAAGTCTTGAATCCCTCAAAGTCATCCATGAGGGTTGAAATTCAACTTTTTCCAAACTCTTGTTAATGCTGATATTCTGACCTCCTCCCATGATTCATGAATGTTCTTAATGGCATCTAGAATGGTGAGTCCTTTCCGGAAAGTTTTTCACTGACTTTGCTCAGGGCCATCAGAGGAATTGCTACCTATGGCAGCAGCCATACCCTTAGAAAATGTATTTCTTAAATAATAAGACTTGAAAGTTGAAATTAGTCCTTGATACCTGGGCTGCAGAATAAATGTTGTGTTAGCAGGCATGAAAACAACATTCATCTCCTTGTCCATCTCTATCAGAGCTCTTGGGTGACCAGGTCCACTGTCAATGAGCAGTAATATTTTGAAAGGAATCTTTCTGAGCAGTAGGTCTCCACAGTAAGCTTAAAATAGTAAACCATGCTATGAACAGATGTGCTGGCTTCCAGGCTCTCTTTTTCCACTGATAGAGCACAGGCAGAATACAGATTTACCATAATTCTTAAGGGTCCTAGGATTTTTGGAATGGTAAAGGAGCACTGACTTCAACTTAAAGTCACCAGCTGCATTAGCTACGACCAAGAAAGTCACTGTCCTTTGAAGCTTTGAAGGCAGGCATTGACTTCTCTCTCTAGCTATGAAGTCCTGGATAACATCTTCTTCACCAAATAGAAGAGTGTTTTGTCTACACTGAAAATCTATTGTTTAGTGTAACCACCTTCATCAATGATCTTCGCTAGATCTTCTGGATAAATTGTTGCAGCTTCTACATCAACATTGATTGCTTCACTTTGCATTTTTATGTTACGGAGACGGCTTCTTTCCTTAAACCTCATGAATCAACCTCTGTTAGCTTCTAACTTTTCTTCTGCAGCTTTCTCATCTCTCTTCATAGAATTAAAGAGAGTTAGGGCCTGCCTCTGGATTAGGCTTTGGTTTAGGGAAATGTTGTGGCTGGTTTGATCTACCCAGACCACTCAAACTTTCTCCTTATCAGCAATACGGCTGTTTCGCTTTCTTATCATTCATGGGTTCACTGGAATAGCACTTTTCATTTCCTTCAAGAAATTTCCCTTTGCATTCACTTGGCTCAAGAGGACTAGCTTTTTGCCTGTCTTGGCTTTCAACATAGCTTCCTCACTATGCTTCATCATTTCTAGCTTTTCATTTCCAGAGAGACGTGTGATTGTTCCTTTCACTTGAACATGTAGAGGCCATTTTAGGGTTACTGACTGGACTAATTTCAATATTGTTGTGTCTCAGGAGTGAGAGAGACAGGGGTACAGCCAGTTGCTGGATCATTAAGAACATACACATTTATTAAGTTCATCACCTCACATGGGTAATGGTTCGTGGTGCCCCAAAACAATTACAACAGTAACATCAAAGATCACTGATCATAGGTCACCATAACCGGTATAATAATAACGAAAAAGTTGAAATACTGCAAGAATTACCCAAAATGTGACACAGAGGCACAACATAAGCACATGCTCTTGGAAAAATGGCACTGATAGACTGGCTCGACTCAAGGTTGCCACAAATCTTCAATTTGTAAGAAATGCAGTATTAGCAAAGTGCAATAAAACAAGCTAGGCCTGTACTTTAAATCATCTCTAGATTATTTAAAACACCTAATACAATGTAGATACTATATAAATAGTCACACTGTATTGTTTAGGGGAAAATAAGGGGAAAAAGTCTATGCATGTTCAGTATGAACGTAACCATTCTTTTTTTTTTTTCTCAAGTATTTTTGACACACAGTTGATAGAACCACAGATGCAGAACCCACAATGGGTATGAGAGGCGAACTGCATACCTATTATCTCAACTCCACTCCACTGGATAGAACATACTTCTCTTTGCTTCCAAAATTAAGTCCATCCTCAAAAACGCAATACGCCTAAAAACAACTCTGATTCATTATACCTTTAAACAACAGATTACTCAAACCAGAGCATTAAGTAAAATGGTTTTGTAAAAACTGTAAATATATGACACTAATAATTCAACATGTATATCACAGTATGAGTGCATATACTTTATGTTAATGAACAGAATTTAAATGAGACGAAGGATAAATGGTGAAGAAATCTTGCCCCCTTCCCTCGTCAACAATTCAGGCAAACCTAAATAAGAGGAGTCACTTATTCCAGTCCCCTTCTCTCAATAAGGAGGAGAGGAAGAGAAACATTCTGCCCCTGGGCGGCATAAAGAACAAACTGTGCTCCTGCAAGCTTCATTCAGTAGCTCTGGACCAAATGAATCAACATGTTTATCTGCTAATACAGCTGAGCTCATTTTAAAGTGTTATGCACTTAAAAGGAAACAAACTTTTTAAAAAACAAAACTAGTAAAAATTAGAAAGTTTTTGTTGTTTTAGCAAATTTAGTTAGGTTTATGAAGACCAAAAATTAACAGAATAAATCTTCTATTTTGTCAAAATGTTTATTCTCAACTGAAGAAGATTTAAGGAAACTCAGGCTCAAAAACATTTGATCTAGGGGTCAAGGACAGTCTGACTTCTTAGTTCTGCCAGCAGTTTTTTAAAGCTGCTTCCTGTACTAGGGAACGTTCACTGTTCTTGCACAAACAATAATAAGTCATTTATACAAACACCTTGGTTATTCTTTCCTTTTAAATTCACTGGTAATAACAAAGGCTACCATCATGATTCTAATAAACATTTTGAGCTTTTACCATTAAATTTCTATTAATTTATTATTTGTGGGGAAACAATTTATTCACTTAACTCAAAAATATGTCTCCAATGCTGCCAATCATGTGCCCGACATTATAGATAAAAGTCAGCAAAAGAGATACAGTCACTGCCCTCCCAGAGCTTCCAGTTTTGCTGACAAGATATTATGGAATTATACATCTATATATATAACCCGGACTATGAAAAGGGAAAAATATACCATGAAAGCAAACAACATGATCTGGCCCTGGGGGTCAGAGGATTCCTTTGGCAGTGATAATTAAGCTGAGATTAGCCTTACAATCACTAAACATGATTTGAAACACACACATTCCAAATCATCCTAGGAGTAGGAATGCTTACAGCTACATGGGGGAGGGGAGAAGAGTTTATAGGAGCCAAGGTAAAATCCATGACTTTAAAAATAAAGGTGAGAGCTTCATGTGTACAACACCAAGAGATCACTTATCTCTGTAGGAAGAAAAGCAATGGCCATTCCTAGCATACTTTCACTCAAAAACAGGTTTCGTAGCTAGAACTATTTTCCAATAATAAAGCCAAACATCAGCTATCAATCTAATAATCTCCAATCATCTCAAGTCCTCCAAACACATTAAAATGAATTTATAACAGTAAATGTATCACAAGCCTCAACACCCCGTATAAACCCAGTAATGAAAAAAGATGTCTTAAGCTTCACATATCACAGGTCATCTAATGTCAGAACAGAAACAAACTTCTAGAAATCATCTTGTAATAAAACACTTTTCACTGTGCAAATCAGGAGTAACACCCGAAGTGAAGCAGCAGCACTTACAATGTCACACATCTAGTTCAGAGTAGAACAGGAGGCTAGAGCATGGACTGCCTGAGTCCACTCTCTATGCTTTTTCTACCAGCATACAGCAGCAAATACATGACAAGAAACACACGTTGCAAATAAATAAGGCAGAATTTTAAGACACAAATTGCATTTCAAAATTTTTATTTTAAAATTTTTTTTACATATTTTTAGGGACAGGGTCTCACTATGTTGCCCAGGCTAGTCTTAAACTCCTGGCACAAGCAGTCCTCCCTCCTCAGCCTCCCAAAGTATTGGGATTACAGGCACAAGCCACCGTGCGTAACTCAAAATTTTTATACATTTTCAACTGACCCACACATGCTGCAGGCTCTAGAAAACAAATGCTCCCTCTTACCACATACCACAGAAGAGTAAAACTGAAAACAACAGCTGGGCACAGTAGCTCACACCTATAATCCCACATGCTATGGGAGGCTGAAGTGAGAGGATCTCTTGAGGCCAGGGGTTCAAGACCAGCCTGGGCAACACAGTGAAACCCTGTATCTATAAAAAAATAAAATTAGCCAGACACAATGGTGCACACCTGTAGCCCTAGCTCCTCAGGAGGCTTAGAAGGGAGGATCCTTTGAGCCCAGGAGATCAAGGCTGCAGTGAGCTATAATCGCACCACTGCACTCTGCACTCCAGCCTCAACAACAGAGCAAAACTGTCTCAAAAAAAAAAAAAAAGGGTGAAGAAAACCGACTATTTATTGACTCCCTAGGGTCTAGGAGCTCGACTGAGTAGCTCATCTACTTTAACATCCATTAATCATCACAACTACCCTCTGATTAGATATTATTCTCATTCTACTGAGACCCAGAAACATTAGAAATTTACTTATGGTTACATAGCAGAAAAATGGTAGAAGTAGGACTTGAATTCAAGTCTAAATCTAAATCCATGTAGCCATTTTACCATTAAAAAGCATTTTTTCTTTTTTTGAGACAGGGTCTCATTCTGTCACCCAGGGTACAGTGCAGTAGCACGATCATGGCTCAGCTCACTGCAGCCTCAACCTCCCAGGCGTAGGTGATCCTCTCGCTTCAGCCTCCCAATTAGCTGGGACTACAGGCGCAAGCCACCATGCCCACCTAATTTTTCTGTATTTTTTGTAGAGATGAGGTTTCACCATGTTGCCCAGGCTGGTCTCAAACTTCTGGACTCAAGCTATTCATCTACCTTGGCCTCCCAAAGTGCTGGGATTACAGGCATAAGCCACTGTACCCAGCTAGTGTTTCTTCATTAAAAAATACTATACAATGTGATTAGGTTTCCCTGGGAACTTACAAATGCCCATTTAATTGCTAATGAAACATATTTTAAAGTTTGGTCTAGGATAACTGCCATTTATAACATTATATCAAAAAGAACTACCAAGTTTTAAACAACTACTTTACAAACAAAATTTGGAACATATTCTTAAGTTAAATGTTATTCATATTTTCTTTTATAACATTCTTTTCAACCCTGCTGTCAGTGCCACCAGAAATGGGTGTTATCTACTCCTATGAAATGTTGGCTCAGACACAAGAAGAAGAGTATAATGCATGACTGCTTAAGAGAACCATAAAAATACAAGAACTACATTTTAATCATTCTGATTTCTCCATTGGTGGACAGCCCATTAACAGCTTCAACTGGGAGAGAGCATACTGCTCAAAAATAAGAACCCAGCAGTCCAAATAGAGCAAAGCACATCATTAATTAAAAGAATACCAGTTTTTGCACAACTACCCACACCATAGGACTTTCTGCTTTCTCAGCTCTGCTAAATTCTGTTACCACTCACGCACCAGGTTCTCAGCTTCCAATATTTAGTTGACGTTGTTTGCCTGCTGTCATCTCTCATCTCGTTCTCTTTACCCTCATGGATTTCTGCTTTTATATGTGTTCACTATCATTTAAGTGGGGAAGGAAATACATGTCTTCTCTGATAATACTGGAGATTTTTAAAGTTTTCTTTTGATCCCTTATGGTATCTGTTTTCTCCCAGTGTTCCAAGTATCACTCCCTCTCCACCTCTCTATGTCTACTTTTTTTTTTTTTTAATGTTGGAGTCTTCCCCCAGATGACCAATGGTGTTAGATTGTTTGCTCATATTTAAGAATAAGCCCCTGAAAAGAACTAACTGAAAGATCTGTGTGGGAAAACAGGGCTTAACGACTGGTAGAATTCACTTAAGGTACTCTCAGCAGAAAGCCTATCAGTATCTGAAGATGCTGTTATCTTCAGTCTTCCACAGGAGAAGGATAGGACAGGCTTGACTGTGCAGTTCTGGAAGGAGAGCAGAGGAAGAGAGCTAACACTTCTATAGTTCAGGCGTAGGTTTCCCTTGATCTCCTTGTTTTTTTTTTTTGTTTTTTTTTTTTGGTTTTTTTTTTTTTGAGACGGAGTCTCGCTCTGTCGCCCAGGCTGGAGTGCAGTGGCGGGATCTCGGCTCACTGCAAGCTCCGCCTCCCGGGTTCACGCCATTCTCCTGCCTCAGCCTCCCAAGTAGCTGGGACTACAGGCGCCCGCCACTACGCCCGGCTAATTTTTTGTATTTTTAGTAGAGACGGGGTTTCACCGTTTTAGCCGGGATGGTCTCGATCTCCTGACCTCGTGATCCACCCGCCTCGGCCTCCCAAAGTGCTGGGATTACAGGCGTGAGCCACCGCGCCCGGCCGATCTCCTTGTTTTAAACCAAGCAACAATCCACGGCCCCTGGTTTCAAAGTCCAGACAGCTCTTCATTAATTTTGCAAAGAATAAACCTTGTTCTCCTGAGGCCAGGGAGTTGGTAGTGAAGGGACTCACCCATCCACAAGGGCACATAGGGAGAAAATCGTAGGGGTCCACCTGTCAGTGTACACAGATTTTCCGACCAGCTCCCCTGTTTTCAGCTCCATTTCTGACCCCTATCTTCCTTAGTATCTGGTGCCTCCAAATGCTGAGACTCTTGGGAGCTTCGGACAAACACAGTACTGCATTTCTTACAGGTATTTTTGTGCACTTACAGGTACTGTGTGATTCCTCTGCAAAGTCAGTCACTACCTGTCCATCTGCTTATTTGAAAGAGGTATAGCAGCTTCTGTCTCCTGTTGTAACCTCTCCCAGTCTCTGATTTCTTTCTTCCATTTAGGCAGGGATTAGGAAATAAGAAGAGATGTACAGGTGTAGCCAATCTGTCACTTTTGGTCAGAAGCCCTGAGAGAGCTCTTTTGAAATCAGCTATCTCAGGATACTGACTTAAGGACTAAATTAGTATTTCTCAAAGTCCGATCACAGACTTGCATTAGAATCCACAAGGATGCTTGTCCACACAGCAGTCTGGGTGATTTTTGCTTTTGCTGTTACATGGAAATCAGATTAAGTCACTCCCCCACTTAAAACTTCCTAATAAGCAGCTTCTCACTCCACTTAAAAGCCAAGGTCTTTCAAAGCCTAAAATAATACGGCCAATGTATGTCTATCTCTGATCCCATTTAATACCATTCTTTCCAGGCACTTTTCTCTACTATTAATATATTCTGACAACACTGGCCTAGACCACCAACCAGTTTATTGCTATCTCAGGGCCTTTGCACATGTTCTTTCCTCTGCTTGTAACGTTCTTCTTCTAGTTCTTGCATGGCCCCTTCTCATTTTTCAGATCTCAGTTCAAAGGTGGACAGACAAAATGTGGTACATCCATATTATGGAGTGTTATTTAGCCTTAAGAAGGAAGGAGATGCGGACATGTGCCACAGCATGGATGAACCTGGAAAACACTACGCTAAGTGAAATAAGCCAGTCACACAAATACTGTACGATCCACTTACATGAGGCACTAAAGCAGTCAAATTTAAGAAGGCAGAAAGAATGGTTGTTGTTAGGGGCTGAGAGGAGAGAGAAAATAAAAAATTACTGTTTAATGGCTGCAGAGTTTCAGTTTCACAACATGAAAAAAGTTCTGGAGGCAGATGGTGGTGAATGGTTGCAAAACAATGTGCATGTACTTGATGTCGCTGAAACGTGCACTTACAAATGGTTAAAATGGTAAATTTTATGTTATATATATTTTACTACAACCTAAAAAATACTTTTTTAAAAAAAAAAGCAAGATAAAAAATAAGAGTTATCTCTTCAAAAGACACCTCCCAAGATCACTCTATGCAAAGCTCTCTCTCTCCTTTCCCCTGCCAGGTAATTATCTGGCACATATCATGGTATACTTTCTTCACAGAACTTAGCACTATATAAAATTATCCTGTTTGTTTATTATCTCTCCGCCAGTTACAGAGTAGGCACCTGGGATGTCTTCTAACACTACCTACACAATATGGTAATAAATATATAATAGGAAGACACTCAATACACATTTGGTGGCTAAATGAATTAACTGTCTTCTAGGTCTCAACCCAGATCTACTAAATGAGAATCTTGGGATTCTCAGACATTGCTTTATTGGGAGAGAAAACTTGCTATTTATGACCCAAATAGCACCTCCCAATCCCAACAGCTAGTTAGGACAATTTGACACAAATGACCTTTAAAATAGATATTCTCTGTTCTTACCACAGAATATGTGCTTTTGATTGGAGGGTTAAACAGTGGGGAAGGTATAGATGAAAGAGGAGTTTCTAACATTTTCATAAAGGAATGCCTGATAACATGACAATATAGTTCCTTTAATTATTCTTAAATGATTAAGCATGTATAACTATCAGAAGAGCTTCTACATAATCAAATAGATCACTAAACTTCTTTATGAAGTAATTCAAAAGTTAGGATAACAAAAAAAAAAACCAAAAAACAGTTTTTCTTTTTTTTTTTTTGAGATGGAGTCTCACTCTGTCACCCAGGCTGGAGTGCAGTGGTGTGATCTCGGCTCACTAAAAGCTCCACCTCCTGGGCTCATGCCATTCTTCTGCCTCAGCCTCCCAAGTAGCTGGGACTACAGGCGCCCACCACCACACCCGTCTAATTTTCTGTATTTTTAGTAGAGACGGGGTTTCACCATGTTAGCCAGGATGGTCTCGATCTCCTGACCTCGTGATCCGCCTGCCTCGGCCTCCCAAAGTGCTGGGATTACAGGCCTCCCAAAGTGCTGGGATTACAGGCGTGAGCCACTGTGCCAGGCCCTTTTTTTTTTTTTTTTTTTTAAGACAGGGTCTCACTGTGTCACCCAGACTGGAGTGCTGCAGTGGCATGACCACTGCTCACTGCAGCCTGACCTCCTGGACTCAAGCGATCCTCCCACCTCAGCCTCCTGATCTCCCACATAGCTGGGACTACAGGCATGCACCACTACACCTGGCTAATTTTTAATTTTTTTTTTTTTTTTTTTTTTTTGTTTTGTAGAGATGTGGTCTCGCTATGTTACAGGCTGGTCTCAAACTCCTGGGCTCAAGCAATCTGCCTGCCTCAGCCTCCCAAAGTGCTGGGATCATAGGCATGAGACTTTGTGCCAGGCCTTCTATTTATGTTCTTGATATTATCTAATTTCCTACAGGATTTTGTTCTCATATCTTCTCTCTGTTATCTTTCCATCTCACCTGGACAATTCTATAGCTCACTCCTAGACAGCAAACAAACACACTTATCTCCCCATTCTAAAAAATATTCACTCACTCTTACTACATGTTCAACCTCTAATTTTCTCTATTCCTCTCCACAACATCCAGCTTTTTTGAAGTCTACTTTCTCATTTCCCATTCACTCCTTAACCTTCAACTCCACACTGGCGAATATGGTCATCAACCCCTTAACACAGCAGTTGCTCTTTCATTAGTCACCAATGAGCTCCTTTCTGTTACTCATCATACCTCCTTCACTGTTTTAATCTTGCTCCTCCTTTTAGATGACTTAAATTCTGTTCATCGCTAAAGTATGAGTGGAAAGTGGGGTAGTGAACCCAGACAAGACTGGGTGTGGCCCTGGCTTCAACAGTTATTGCACTTTTCTGAGCTGACTGACATAGGACTGGTCTGTCTTCCTAAGGGATAACTGAACTAGGGCAGGCACTAGATCCTCATTTATCTTTACATCCTTGAGCTCTTTATATCTTTATATACTGTGTGCTTGGCACATTAAGTAGACACTCAATGGGGCTGTGGAAGGTAGGAAAGAAAGAAAATGGGGAGGGAATGGGTGGGGAAAAATGCAGGAAACAATTTTACTCATCTTTTTATCCCTAAGTACAAAGTAGAAAAGTTAACCATAATAGAACCTCAATTAATGTTTGGTGACCCTTACTGAATACATATATACTACCTATTGCATGAAGATTTGGGTTTTGTTTAATTTCATTGAACGTTTACATTTAAATTCTGAGAACTGCACATTTACCACAAAACTATGGTTGTAAAAACTATACTGTTAATTATAGTTACAGTTGCTGACTCATTAAGCAAATTCATAGTTTTAGAAACATAGTTTTAGTCAATGAAGCAATAAAATATACTTTAGCATTCTTCAACATTCAGACTAGGGGTAGGGGATGATAAAGAGAGACAGCGAAGTTAAGACTCAACATGAAATGAGGTAGAAATAAAAAGAACAACACTGAAGTCTGGCCATAGGGTGGTTAAAAGGCTCTGTAATTTTCCTAAAATTAACTTTCAAATATATGACAAAATTGTCATAAATAAGTTAGTCTAGGTTTAAAGAGCTTTTTTGAAAGTCTGATTTCTGTTACTTAAGAAAAAATAAAATGTCTCTAATTTTTAAACAAAGCACACATAAACAAGCTGCTTTCAATAAATGCTCTTTTACTATATTTCAAAGGAAAACTATCTAGCACTTTGGGGCACTTATTAAATAGTGAAAAGAAAAATATTTCTTTCTAGTTAAAAAAGGATGAAGACAATTCTTGGGGAGTGGGGGGATCCAAGTAACTGAATTCTGTCTATAACTTAAAGTTCCTTTTTTTTTAGCTCTTATTCTCTGTCTTATTTCCAAGTTTCTATTTCCTTTACTTGCTTTTAAATGTCAGTATTCTCCAGAGTGCTATCCTCTCATCCTTCTCTTAAACATGTTCATTGAGCAATCTCATCTGTACCAGAAAAGCACACTGTTTAGGAGTATACCTTCCAGGACCAAATGTGCTTGTGTTTGAATCCTGACCCTACTACTTGCTAGGTGTACAACCTTAGACAAGTTACTTAACTTTTCTGTACCTCAGTCTACTCATCTGCAAATCAAGGATAAAGCAGTGCCAACCTTACAGGGCTGTTGTGAGGCCTCAGTTAATATATATCAAATGCTTACAATGCTGCCTGGCACATAATATGTTTTCTAACTAAGAGTGTTAGCTATAAGAGGGCCATATAATTCACCCAGGGCACTTCTAAGATTTAAGGAAGAGATTATGGGCCAGGTGCAGTGGCTCACGCCTGTAATGCCAGCACTTTGGTAGGCCAAGGTGGGCGGATCACGAGGTCAAGAGATCAAGACCATCCTGGCCAACATGGTGAAACCCCGTCTCTACTAAAAATACAAACATTAGCTGGGTGTGGTGGCGCACACCTGTAGTCCCAGCTACTCGGGAGGCTGAGGCAGGAGAATTGCTTGAACCCACAAGGCAGAGGTTGCAGTGAGCCAAGATCGCGCCATTGCACTCCAGCCCAGCGACAGAGTGAGACTCAGTCTCGAGGAAAAAAAAAAAAGAGAGATTATGTATAATAATCACACTGGAGCGACAAGAGTAAACCAGAACTACCTTAGGCAAATTAAGACAGTATCACCCAACTAGTTAGGATAAGCCATAAAATACAATGATATGCACCATTTCTGCCCTATAAATATCATATAATTAACCTAATAATGTTCAGTTCCAGTTAATGAAAACCTAGCAAATACTTAACTATTATTTCTGAAAGTGGGTTCAGTAGGGGTGATGGCTGAATAGGTCAAAACACTTCAGAAACATCAAGTTAAATAAAGCTAAGTATGTTGGAAAGATGAAGTTTACCATCTAGCCTACCCAAAACTCACTGGTGTGCTAATTGACTTTATAGCTTAAACTAGTCTTATTTTGCAGCTACAAAGTTATTCTGAAATGAAATTAAAATGAGCTACTAGCTTTTTAAAATATAAGGTATGTTATCTATGTTATTCCTCAGGGCCTATCCCATAATGAGTATTAAATAAACATTTCTTGAATGAATGAATGAATATTAAAAACAATTTCTATTATCTCTGAACTATGAGAGATATGGAGATTGTAACAAAGAATGAAATCCTTAAAAGAAAAAAAGATAATTCAAATTTTCTTGTTCACTACTTAAAAACCATTAAAAGCCATTTTTGACCTAATAATTCCATCAACCCATGTATTTCATATGTAAATGTTCAATGAAACAGGACTTGCCATGCCATGGATAAAGTTTTAAAGACGGTAATAAAAATCTTTTCAGGGTTATTATTTCATTTAAACACTACTGATGTTTATCCAGCCAACAAAAAAGTATAATAGCACAAAGACTGCCTTCTGAATACTCCCTAGAGGCCAATCAGCCAGGTGTGAGAATTCTGAGGTTAGGGAAACTCTTTGAAACAGAGTTCAAGAAGAGCTACTTAGAAATAAAGAAACAAATTCAGATCATGATAGCCATAAAGCAGAACCTGCAGAAGGGAGCATCAAAAAACCAAGGGCAGTTTTGCATATTTACCAATTTAATCTACTATTTCAAAAAAGCTGAAGCACTAGTCTTATAGTAGTGACCTGCAAAAATTATCGAGCCACATTTAGTCAACAGCAAATATCCAATGGAAAATCTAATGCAATTTTTATATGGATGCTACTGGAATCTTATATCCAAAAACTGAAGAAGGCCAACCGAAACCCCAAACTACAATTTTATTCTTTCTGATCTTATGTTAGTTCCTGAAATCTGTTATGAGGAAAAATATTCCTATAGGATAAAAACAATAGTGGGGGCTAATATATATGGAAAATACTACACTAAAAAGTTTGCATACATTATTTCCTTTGGTTTTCACAATCATCTTAAATAATACCCGGCTTGACTGTAGGAATCTTAACAGACCCCAAAGGCCGCAGCTCATTTCCAAATGCCTGGTCAGAATTTTCCTTTTTGTAAGTTTGTATACTTTTTTGCTGGCTTAATTTCTCTTTCCTCAGGTATACTCCAACACAATACACTATTAAGCCTAACTACTGGTAAGGTAGAGTCAAATTCTGTTACAAAAAGTTCCATATGACCCCTCTACGCTACATGACATGGTAGCAAACGAAACCATGACAGGCAGCTGTGACGAAAATAGCTATACATTTATAATTTAAAGTAATATTCCTGGCTAGAATTTATTGGAAAGGAAATATCAAATATTGGAGCTAGAAGAGACTTTAGGGACACTAATCAAAACAAAATTTTATTGAACATAAATAAGATGCATTTTTACTGTAAACTTTCCAGTCATTATTGTTGTTCTTAAAGTTTAGCAAGTTTGGGAAGAGAAGCTGGAACTCTTGGTTTTACATCAAAACCAAGATCATTAATTTTCCTACAGTATACTAGGATTCCTTCTATTTTATATTTTTGTGTAACCCAAATTACTCTATTAAATAGTAGAAATTTAGAGCTAGACAAAATTTCTAATCCATCCATTTATTTTTACAGGCAAGAAAACAAAGGCCCAGTGTGTCAAGTAGTTTTATATTTTGGTTGCATACAGTTGGTTACCAAAAGAGTTAGGACTAAAACCCAGGACTTCATTCACATCCAGTGCTTTTCAGCAAAACAAAAAAGTCAATGCTTATCAGTAAGAATTTTAACAGGCCAGGCACAGTGGCTCATGCCCATAATCCTGGCACTTTCAGAAGCCAAGATGGGAGGATCGCTTGAGGCCAGGAGTTTAAGACCCACCTGGGCAACACAGCAAGACCCCATCTCTACAAAAAAATTAAAAATTAGCAGGCATGGTTGCATACACCTGTAGTTCCAGCTACTAGGGAGGCTGTGGCAGGAGGATGTCCTGAGCCCAGGAGTTCAAGGTTGCAGTGCGCTATGATCGCACTCCAACCTGGGTGACAGAGTGAGACCCTGTCTCAATAATTTTTTTTAAAAAATTATAATAACAGTTATCACTTATCAAGCACCTATTATGAGCCTAGCACTACTATATTAAGGATTCTATGTAATTATCTCAAATCCTCCCAACAACATTAAAAGTCCAGATCTATCTGCCTCCAAAGCCAGCTGTACCTTCTCTTCCATCATACTGCTTTCATAATCCCAAGGAGAAATCCAGGTTGGTGGGGCAAGTGGGGGACAGGATGGTTGTTTTGTTTCTTTTTGTTACTACTGAAGTTATCCACATAGAGTTACTTCATTTTTGTGAAGGACTTAAAAATATTAGGTTATGTACATGAAAAACACTTTTACTTATAAAAAAGAAAAGGCTTCCACTGCATCTTTATGAAAACATAAACTAAAAAAGTTGTGAAGACTCACTTATATAAGCAATCAAAGACTAATTCCTTCCTAAGGAATGTGATTTCAACACAAGGCTTTCATTTGACAACTTGGTTTGTTACAGAACAAAGACGTACATGTACACACACACACACACACACACACACACACACACACACACACACACATAAGACTGAAAGGAAATGTGCCAAAAATGTTAAAAGCCACTACTCCCCGACAACTCATAACCACAGTGACCTCCTTCAAGAAATGAGCACATAACCCAGGATCCAGACAATCAAGTTTGCCATCCCCCTGACTCCTGGCTACCGTGATACATTAAGGGATGAAAAACTGACATAAGGAGGAACACAGAGTCACCTCTGAAATTTACCATATAACTGGTGAGAAGGAGTCTATCTTCCTTTCAGACAGTGAGCCGTGATGACGTTGCCCTGAGGCTATAAGCACACAACAGAAGCCTGCTTGAGAATGAAGCCATGGCAGGTGGAAACAGAGCCAGCCCACACAGCAGAAGAAGACCCTTGACATCATCATCAGGGTTCTAGATCCACGCATGCCTGAGATCAGTCCATCTTGGACTCCCATTTACTTAATCTAACATATCCACTGTCTTTTAATTTTTTGCTTGACTGCTTGAGTTGGATTTGTGCTGCTTAAATTTTTAATAGTACTGACTAGTCTCAGAGAGAAGCCCTCAGTTAAAAAATAACACTACACTGCAAAATTTGAAACATTTTAAAATTAGGTCAATTAATCATTTTGTCTATCTAAAATATACTTTTAAATTACTGTAACAAAACTTTTAAAATTAAACTAGTAATACATTTAGTGTTCCTAAATAAGGTTATTCTAAATCTTTATGTATTAGCAATAATTGCACTTATTTACCACATACAACATGATATTTTGAAGTATATACACATTGTAGAATAGTTAAATCTAGCTAACAAATGCATTACCTCACATAGTTATCATTTTTGTGGTGAGAACACTTAATATCCACTATATCTGCATTTTTCAAGAATACAATATACATGGCCGGATGCGGTGGCTCACGCCTGTAATCCCAGCACTTTGGGAGGCCGAGGCGGATGGATCACGAGGTCAGAAGATCGAGACCATCCTGGCTAACACAGTGAAACCCTGTCTCTACTAAAAAATACAAAAAATTAGCCGGGCGTGGTGGCAGGCACCTGTAGTCCCAGCTACTCAGGAGGCTGAGGCAGGAGAACGGCGTGAACCTGGGAGGTGGAGCTTGTAGTGAGCTGAGATCGCACCACTGCACTCCAGCCTGGGTGACAGAGCAAGACTCCATCTCAAAAAAAAAAAACAAACAAAAAAGAATATAATATACATTAACTGTAGTCATCATGCTGTACAATAACTGCATTTTTAAATAGTATTAGAGTGTTACATTGCCTGATATTTTGTTTGTATTAACATTTTTCTAATGGTAGAACATACCACAACTTTACTCCCTTGGCTTTTCAAACTTCTGCCATACCACTCACCAACTATAGGTTATGTTAGGTGGGCAGAGATTTCTTCATTCACACTCCCGGGATACATAAATAGAAGAGGAAGTTCTAAAACCGTGATGATTCTGCCTTCTCCAAATTCACAGAGAACATCACAACCATCACAGAGAAATTCCCTCTTTTTTCCTCTTCTGTTCCTCAGTAATTCTTCCTTCCCTCTGCTCATCCCTCATGCTCACCTTCCCTCTGGACCAACTGGGAGTTTGCCTCTCCTCCTTTCAAAGATTAACCCCATCACCTATGTTCTCATCTCCTCCCAACCTTCACTCCATCTTATTCTTTCTCTGCCAGCTATAGTATTTCCTACCACACTAGCACGTTCCCCTCTGCCATCACATATACAAAAATTTTCTCTAACTTAAAAAAAATATTTCACTTAACCAAGCTGCTCACTTTATTGCTCTCCTACTTTTCACTGACAGATTTTTCAAATGAATGGTTTAAATCTGGTATTTAAGCATCACTCTTCCCTTATTCCCCAAAAGTCTAGCTTCCTCCCTCCCCTCAAATCCCTGAAACTGAATTCATGATATTTCTTTTATTGTCAAATCCAATGGCCCCTTTAATTTCATTTCCTCATGCACACCGCTGTATGTGGCGTTATTTCACTATCCTCTTGTAAAATCTTGCCCATTGGTTCAATGACATTATAATCCATTTTAGCTCTCTTGCTGTTGGACTTCTCTAAAGAGGTCTCCTTTTCCTCTCATTCCCTGTTAGTAAAGTGTGTGTTTCTCATATTCATTCTTCAGTCCATTCTTCAATGTTCATTTTCCATATGCTTTCTCTGAAAAATTATATCTATCATTAAAACTGTGTTGTTCTCCAATATAAGGCAAAATTACAACACACATACAAAAGGGTGAATAACCATTTTCCTTCCCAAATTAGGACTACTCCCAAATTTTCTGAAAATGGCATCACTTGTCTTCCCTAAAACCATGGCATGCACACACACACTCCTCAGCATGCTTCCTATTTTCTATTGCCTAGAACACCCTTCTTCCCTTCTCACCCAAAAAAATTCCTATCAGTCTCAAATGCCCCTTCCTCTGTGAAGCCTTTCCTGCCACACACCCATCACCCAATGAACATGACTTCCTAGTTCTCCCTTCTATAGAACCATGGCACTAAGTAGATACCTTTACTATAGCACTTTTTAAATGATTTTAGGTTGCTATGTTTTTCATCTCACCCAATAACTATGTCCAGGTGCAAGGAGCACGTTTTATTCTTTTTGTTTCTTTAGTTGCTATAACATGATAGGCATGTACTTGGTAAGTATTTATTAGGGGAAAAAAAACACTTGAAAGGTCCCAGTTCAGAATGTCAGAAGCATAATCAAGACACTTCATATACCTGCAGTGCTTTGCAAGCATCAAAGTTGAAAGTGCTAGCTTTGTGAATACCAAAAGCATTAACTGACTACACCAGTCATTTAGCATTTTGGTTTCCTGCCACAAATATACTTCCATCTTTACATGCATATGTGTCTTATCTTCTTAAATGGGTAAGTACTTTCAGACTACAACTTTTAATGTTAAGTACATTGTATTATCTAGTGTGATTCCTTGTACCTTAGTAGGGTCTCAATAAATATCACATAGCTATTTGATGTGTCTCATTGTTAGGAGTTCTAAAACTATCTGAGAGATCTGTCATTAACTTATTGTTTTAAATTAAATCAGTTTTTCAAAATTACTCATTAAGGAAAATATGCATACATGGAACTCAAATACCTTCAAATCCATGATCCAAATAATATATTAACTTTTAAAAAGAAAAGGCAAGAGTGGGTTCTTTCAGTGGTAGTAATGCATCTTTCCTTGCAAATATGGATCTCAAATATGGATTACATATGGCCATTAAAAAGCAATTTCCCTATAATTCATAACGTAAAAACTGATTCAGGCAATATCATCAATGGAGGTAAAAGGCTATTGGGAACAATCATCCCACAGATTTATAAATGAGAAAAATAGGGAGCAGTTCCAAGATGGCCGAATAGGAAAAGCTACAGTCTACAGATCCCAGTGTGAGCGACACAGAAGACGGGTGATTTCTGCATTTCCAAATGAGGTACCAGGTTCATCTCAATGGGGATTGTCGGACAGTGGGTGCAGGACAGGGGGTGCAGTGCACCAAGCGTGAGCCAAAGCAGGGTGAGGCATCACCTCACCCGGGAAGCACAAGGCGTCAGGGAATTCCCTTTCCTAGCCAAGTGAAGGGGTGACAAACAGCACCTGGAAAATCGGGTCACTCCCACCCTAATACTGCGCTTTTCCAACGGACTTAGCAAACGGCACACCAGGAGATTATATCCCATGCCTGGCTCGGAGGGTCCTATGCCCACAGAGCCTCGCTCGTTGCTAGCACAGCAGTCTGAGATCAAACTGCAACGCGGCAGCAAGGCTGAGGGAGGGGCGCCCGCCATTGCTGAGGCTTGAGTAGGTAAACAAAGCAGCCGGGAAGCTCGAACTGGGTGGAGCCCACCACAACTAAAGGAGACCTGCCTGCCTCTGTAGACTCCACCTCTGGGGGCAAGGCATAGCCAAACAAAAGGCAGCAGAGACCTCTGCAGACTTAAATGTCCCTGTCTGACAGCTTGGAAGACAGTAGTGGTTCTCCCAGCACAGAGCTTGAGATCTGAGAACAGACAGACTGCCTCCTCAAGTGGGTCCCTGACCCCCGAGTAGCCTAACTGGGAGGCAACCCCCAGTAGGGGCAGACTGACACCTCACACGGCCGGGCACCCCTCTGAGACGAAACTTCCAGAGGAACAATCAGGCAGCAACATTTGCTGTTCACCAATATTTGCTGTTCTGCAGCCTCTGCTAATGATACCCAGGCAAACAGTGTCTGAAGTGGACCTCCAGCAAACTCCAACAGACCTGCAGCTGAGGGTCCTGACTGTTAGAAGGAAAACTAACAAATAGAAAGACATCCACACCAAAAACCCATCTGTACGTCACCATCATCAAAGACCAAAGGCAGATAAAACCACAAAGATAGGAAAAAAAGAGCAGAAAAACTGAAAATTCTAAAAATCAGAGCACCTCTCCTCCTCCAAAGGAACGCAGCTCCTCACCAGGAACGGAACAAAGCTGGAAGGAGGATGACTTTGACGAGTTGAGAGCAGAAGGCTTCAGACAATCAAACTTCTCAGAGCTAAAGGAGGAAGTTGGAACCCAACACAAAGAAGTTAAAAACCTTGAAAAAAGATTAGATGAATGGCTAACTAGAATAACCAATGCAGAGAAGTCCTTAAAGGACCTGATGGAGCTGAAAACCATGGCACGAGAACTACGTGACGAATGCACAAGCTTCAGTAGCCGATTCGATCAACTGGAAGAAAGGGTATCAGTGATGGAAGATCAAATGAATGAAATGAAGCGAGAAGAGAAGTTTAGAGAAAAAAGAATAAAAAGAAATGAACAAAGCTTCCAAGAAATATGGGACTATGTGAAAAGACCAAATCTACGTCTGATTGGTGCACCTGAAAGTGACAGGGAGAATGGAACCAAGTTGGAAAACACTCTACAGGATATTATCCAGGAGAACTTCCCCAATCCAGCAAGGCAGGCCAACATTCAGATTCAGGAAATACAGAAAACGCCACAAAGATACTCCTCAAGAAGAGCAACTCCAAGACACATAATTGTCAGATTCGCCAAAGTTGAAATGAAGGGAAAAATGTTAAGGGCAGCCAGAGAGAAAGGTCGGGTTACCCACAAAAGGGAAGCCCATCAGACTAACAGCTGATCTCTCGGCAGAAACTCTGTAAGCCAGAAGAGTGTGGGGGCCAATATTCAACATACTTAAAGAAAAGAATTTTCAATCCAGAATTTCACATCCAGCCAAACTAAGCTTCGTAAGTGAAGGAGAAATAAAATACTTTACAGACAAGTAAATGCTGAGAGATTTTGTCACCACCAGGTCTGCCCTAAAAGAGCTCCTGAAGGAGGCGCTAAACATGGAAAGGAACAACCAGTACCAGCCACTGCAAAAACATGCCAAATTGTAAAGACCATCAATGCTAGGAAGAAACTGTATCAACTAACGAGCAAAATAACCAGCTAACATCATAATGACAGGATCAAATTCACACACAACAATATTAACCTTAAATGTAAATGGGCTAAATGCTCCAATTAAAAGACACAGACTGGCAAATTGGATAAACAGTCAAGACCCATCAGTGTGCTGTATTCAGGAAACCCATCTCATGTGCGGAGACACACATAGGCTCAAAATAAAGGGATGGAGGAAGATCTACCAAGCAAATGGAAAACAAAAAAAAGGCAAGGGCTGCAATCCTAGTCTCTGATAAAACAGACTTTAAACCAATAAAGATCAAAAGAGACAAACAAGGCCATTACATAATGGTAAAGGGATCAATTCAACAAGAAGAGCTAACTATCCTAAATATATATGCACCCAATACAGGAGCACCCACATTCATAAAGCAAGACCTTAGAGACCTACAAAGAGACTTAGACTCCCACACAATAATAATGGGAGAGTTTAACACCCCACTGTCAACATTAGACAGATCAACAAGACAGAAAGTTAACAAGGATATCCAGGAATTAAACTCAGCGCTGCACCAAGCAGACCTAATAGACATCTAGAGAACTCTCCACCCCAAATCAACAGATTATACATTCTTCTCAGCACCACACTACACTTATTCCAAAATTGACCACATACTTGGAAGTAAAGCACTCCTCAGCAAATGTAAAAGAACAGAAATTATAACAAACTGTTTCTCAGACCACAGTGCAACCAAACTAGAACTCAGGATTAAGAAACTCACTCAAAATCACACAACTACATGGAAACTGAACAACCTGCTCCTGAATGACTACTGGGTACATAACGAAATGAAGGCAGAAATAAAGATGTTCTTTGAAACCAAGAGAACAAAGACACAACATACCAGAATCTCTGGGACACATTCAAAGCAGCGTGTAGAGGGAAATTTATAGCACTAAATGCCCACAAGAGAAAGCAGGAAAGATCCAAAACTGACATCACAATTAAAAGAACTAGAGAAGCAAGAGCAAACACATTCAAAAGCTAGCAGAAGGCAACAAAATAACTAAGATGAGAGCAGAACTGAAGGAGATAGAGACATAAAAAACCCTTCAAAAAATCAGTGAATCCAGGAGATGGTTTTTTGAAAAGATCAACAAAATTGTTAGACCACTAGCAAGACTAATAAAGAAGAAAAGAGAGAAGAATCAAATAGACACAATAAAACATGATAAAGGAGATATCACCACCGATCTCACAGAAATACAAACTACTATCAGAGAATACTATAAACACCTCTATGCAAATAAACTAGAAAATCTAGAAGAAACGGATAAATTCCTCGACACATACACTCCCCCAAGACTAAACCAGGAAGAAGTTGAATCTCTGAAAGGACCAATAACAGGCTCTGAAATTGAGGCAATAATTAATAGCTTACCAACCAAAAAAAGTCCAGGACCAGACGGATTCACAGCCGAATTCTACCAGAGGTACAAGGAAGAGCTGGCACCATTTCTTCTGAAACTATCCCAATCAATAGAAAAAGAGGGAATCCTCCCTAACTCATTTTATGAGGCCAGCATCATCCTGATACCAAAGCCTGGCAGAGACACAACAAAAAAAAGAGAATTTTAGACCAACATCCCTGATGAACATCGATGCAAAAATCCTCAATAAAATACTGGCAAACCAAATCCAGCAGCACATTAAAAAGCTTATCCACCATGATCAAGTGGGCTTCATCCCTGGGATGCAAGGCTGGTTCAACATATGCAAATCAATAAAGTAATCCAGCATATAAACAGAACAACGACAAAAACCATGATTATCTCAATAGATGCAGAAAAGGCCTTTGATAAAATTCAACAGCCCTTCATGCTAAAAACTCTCAATAAATTAGGTATTGATGGGACGTATCTCAAAATAATAAGAGCTATTTATGAGAAACCCACAGCCAATATCATACTGAATGGGCAAAAACTGGAAGCATTCCCTTTGAAAACTGGCACAAGACAGGGATGCCCTCTCTCACCACTCCTATTCAACATAGTGTTGGAAGTTCTAGCCGGGGCAATCAGGCAGGAGAAAGAAATAAAGGGTATTCAGTTAGGAAAAGAGGAAGTCAAATTGTCCCTATTTGCAGATGACATGATTGTATATCTAGAAAACCCCATGGTCTCAGCCCAAAACCTCCTTAAGCTGATAAGTAACTTCAGCAAAGTCTCAGGATACAAAATCCATGTGCCAAAATCACAAGCATTCTTATATACCAATAATAGACAAACAGCCAAATTATGAGTGAACTCCCATTCACGATTGCTTCAAAGAGAATAAAATACCTAGGAATCCAACTTACAAGGGATGTGAAGGACCTCCTTCAAGGAGAACTACAAACCACTGCTCAACGAAATAAGAGAGAATACAAACAAATGGAAGAACATTCCATGCTCATGGATAGGAAGAATCAATATTGTGAAAATGGCCATACTGCCCAAGGTAATTTATAGATTCAATGCCATCCCCATCAAGCTACCAATGACTTTCTTTACAGAATTGGAAAAAACTACTTTAAAGTACATATGGAACCAAAAAAGAGCCTGCATTGCCAAGTCAATCCTAAGCCAAAAGAAAAAAGCTGGAGGCATCATACTACCTGTCTTCAAATTATACTACAAGGCTACAGTAACCAAAACAGCATGGTACTGGTACCAAAACAGAGATACAGACCAATGGAACAGAACAGAGCCCTCAGAAATAATACCACACGTCTACAACCATCTGATCTTTGACAAACCTGACAAAAACAAGCAATGGGGAAAGGATTCCCTATTTAATAAATGGTGCTGGGAAAACTGGCTAACCATATGTAGAAAGCTGAAACTGGATCCCTTCCTTACATCTTATACAAAAATTAATTCAAGATGGATTAAAGACTTAAATGTTAGACCTAAAACCATAAAAACCCTAGAAGAAAACCTGGGCAATACCATTCAGGACATAGGCACGGGCAAGGACTTCATGTCTAAAACACCAAAAGCAATGGCAACAAAAGCCAAAATTAACAAATGGGATCTAATTAAACTAAAGAGCTTCTGCACAGCAAAAGAAACTACCATCAGAGTGAACAGCCAACCTACAGAATGGCAGAAAATTTTTGCAATCTACTCATCTGACAAAGGGTTAATATCCAGAATCTACAAAGAACTCAAACAAATTTACAAGAAAAAAACAAACAACCCCATCAACAAGTGGGTGAAGGATATGAACAGACACTTCTCAAAAGAAGACATTTATGCAGCCAAGAGACACATGAAAAAATGCTCATCATCACTGGCCATCAGAGAAATGCAAATCAAAATCACAATGTGATACCATCTCACACCAGTTAGAATGGCGATCATTAAAAAGTCAGGAAACAACAGGTGCTGGAGAGGAAGTGGAGAAATAACACTTTTACACTGTTGGTGGCACTGTAAACTGGTTCAACCATTGTGGAAGACAGTGTGGCGATTCCTCAGGGATCTAGAACTAGAAATACCATTTGACCCAGCCATCCCATTAGTGGGTACATACCCAAAGGATTATAAATCATGCTGCTATAAAGACACATGCACACGTATGTTTATTGCGACACTATTCACAATAGCAAAGACCTGGAACCAACCCAAATGTCCAACAATGATAGATTGGATTAAGAAAATGTGGCATATATATACCATGGAATACTATGCAGCCATAAAAATGATGAGTTCATGTCCTTTGTAGGGACATGGATGAAGCTGGAAACCATCATTCTCAGCAAACTATCGCAAGCACAAAAAACCAAACATCGCATGTTCTCACTCATAGGTGGCATAGGTGGGAACTGAACAGTGAGAACACTTGGACATAGGAAGGGGGACATCACACACCGGGGCCTGTTGTGGGGTGGGGGGAGGGGGGAGGGATAGCATTAGGAGATATATCTAATGTAAATGACGAGTTAATGGGTGCAGCACACCAACATGGCACATGTATACATATGTAACAAACCTGCACGTTGTGCACATGTACCCTAGAACTTAAAGTATAAAAAAAAAGAGAAAAATATATCTTTACAGTGAAGAGATCCAGCAGTCACCTTCTTGATTAAGTATGTATCATGTATGCAGTATTCTCACCAAAAAAGGTTCAACCTGAATCTAACAATGAGGAAAAGCTGGACAAATTCAGAATGTGGGATATTCACAAAACAAGTGATATAAAACCCTCAAAAAAATTAGAATCAAAATTGGGTTCAGTGTATATTGCTTGGGTGATGGGTGTACCAAAATCTCGTAAGTCACCACTAAAGAGCTTACTTGTGTAACCAAATACCACCTGTTCCCCAAACGCCTATGGAAATAAAAAAAAAAGAAAAAAAGTACATAATAAAAAAAAAATTAGAATCAGTGTCATAGAAAGCAATATAACGTTAGATTTTTATTTTCTAGAATAAAACAGTCTCAGGTGACATAACCAAATATAGTGTAAGGACCCTGGATTTTAAAAAATTTATAAACTTTTATGGACTACCATATTAGGCATAATTATGAAATATGATTTTTCTTAGTTGTGTTAATGATACTGTGATTATGAATAGCCTAACCTTGGAAATTCATGCTAGAAGAACTTAGAGATAAAGTGATATCTACAGCTTCCATTCAAATGATTCAATTAAAAATTTTAAAGAGTATATGGACTGGGCACAGTGACTCACACCTGTATTCCCAGCATTTTTGGAGGCCAAGGCAGGAGGATCACTTGAGCCCAGGAGGTCAAGATTAGCCTGGACAATCTAGTGAGACCCCAACTCTTAAAAATTAAAACATTAGCCAGGTGGTGGTGCACACCTGTAGTCCCAGCTACCTGGGAGGCTCATTCAGGAGGATTGCTTGAGCCCAGGAGTTAGAGGCTGCACCAAGCTTTGATCCACTCCAGCCTAAGCAACAGAGTGAGATCAGGTCACAAAATAAAATTTTTAAATATATGTAAAGCAAATGTGACAAAATGTTAAGGATATTTTTGTGCTCATGAACACAATACATTCAGCTTTTCTATATATTTTTAAATCTTCAAAATAAAAAGTTAAAAGGGAAAGTAATATTCTCTTCTTTCCAATCACTGTAAACATTAGTAAATTGATAGAGGGGCTTATCTTGAAGAGATTTAGTTTAGATTAAGTATAGAACCCTATTATATCTAACATTTATTTTAAATACTTTTACAATATAAATAAACTAACCTGAGAATATAAGCTATAAAAACATAACTTTACAATCTAAGAATAAAACAAATGGAAAAAATTCTTCCTCATTCTACATATAAAATTTTGTAGTTCCTAGAAATAATTATTGGTCAGAAAACTCTTCTTACCAATGTTTAATAGAACACATATTCATGAATATTCTTGAGCTTACATCTTCCAATGATACACAGTCATCCCATGATCCTAACAATTCATGACCTTTGGAATCACAAATCTTATTTTTACTCTGCATCAAATGTTCTCCCCCAACCCCACTACCTGCCTCTGTTGCCAGGCTGCCATCTTATCAGCCTCCCAAATTCAACTTAACTGTCACTCCATTAGCTATCTATCACTGCATAACAGATTACCACAAAACTTAGCACTTTAAAATAACAATAAGCCTTTATGATCTCACAGTTTCTGTTGGGTCAGGAATTCAAGACCAGTGATGCATAAGGCATAGCAAAACTACGATCAGCACTCCTGTTCAAACAAAGGACAATTAGGAGGTGTGTGGGAGTCACTGACCCATAGCAATTCTGAAATCCAGCAGGTGTTTTGAGGCAACACTTTGGATCTTTCTAAGATCTTAAAGGACTTTAAAGTCACAACTTCAAAACACCTGGATATTTCTAAGGTCTTAAAGGACATTAAAGTCACATCTTCAGCTTGATCTGTAGATCAAGTTTTCCCATGAGGGTCCTAGATTGGATCTTTTCTAGAACCCATTTCTTAATTTTAGTATCAATGATCATACGAAGAGGCTGGGAATTTTCAAGCCCTACAGTTCCCTGCTCTTTTTTCTTTAATAGTATTTCATTTTGCTTATCTCTCTCCTTTTACATTTTATACATAAGTAGCAAGAAGAAACCAGGTAGCTTCTTCAACATTCTGATAAGAAATCTCCTTAGCTAGATCACTTCATTCATAGGTTACATTTTTCTATTTTCCATCTTATTGCACATGACAGAGTTGCTAAACTTTCTGCCACCACAGAACAAGGATCCCCTTTCCTCGTGTTTCCGTTAATATTTTTCTCACTTTCCTTTAAGCCCTCGAGCAAAGCCTTCTCAAAGGCTTCTACTTCTACTCAAACTTCTACTAACAGTCAACTCAAGGCTCTACATGCTTTCACTAATGTTTCAAAATCCTTCAAGCTTGTAGCCAGTTCCAAATTCAAAAGACAGTACTACATTTTTGTTACAACAAAACAAAACCACTCTGATACCAAAATCTATATTGCTTTTTTTTTTTTTTGGCAGGATCTCATTCTGTCACTTTTAGCACAATCTTAGCTCACTGCAACCCCCACCTCCCAGGCTCAAGAACTTAGAGATAGCGATCCTCCCACCTCAGTCTCCCAAGTAGCTGGGACCACAGGTGTGCACCACCACACCCAGCTAGTTGTTGTTGTTGTTGTTGTTGTAGAGATGAGGTTTCACCATCTTGCCCAGGCTGATCTCGAACTCCTGAGCTCAAGTGATCCACCCACCTCAGCCTCCCAAAGTGCTGGGATTACAGCTGTGTGCCACCGTGCCCTGCTCAAAATCTCTATTATCTATTGCTATAATTACCCCCAAAATTAGTATTTTCAATACAATAAGGTTTTATTATACAGTTTCTGTGGGAAAGGAGTGACTTAGCTAGGTGGTTCTGCACCAGGGTCTGTCATGAAATTGCAGACAATATGTTAGCCAGGGATGTAGTCATCAGAAGACCCTACTTGGTTTCTACTATGGCTTGCTCATATGATGGAAAAGTTCATGATAGTTTTTGGCTTATAATTCCATTTCTGGTGGGAATAGCAGCTTAATGGCCATTCCACCTTTAGATGAGTCAAGATGGTGTTTTTCTAGGTCACATAGCAGTTTGAATTGCTTTTTGAACTAGCATATCAACAGCTTATCTTCCACATTTTAAATCACAACATTTGAGTAATTCATAGTTTCACTAAAACATGTAAAAACTCAGTAGTGATGATCAAAAGCTGAGGGTATCTCAGGCAAAAGGGGATAGCTGGTCATGTTCCACTAGATCCCTAAACCAAAGACACAGGGTCACTAACATAACATGGTAGGCACCACCCTACTGTTTCTGACACTACCTTTAGTTCTACTACTGCAACTATTATTTATATTCTGAGAAAAATTTTTAAATAGATTACATAAAGTTAAAATTAAATGATATCAAGAAAAGGCATCTAAAATGTAGGATACATGACTAGTAAACTAGAAAAGATAAGAAAAGCATACAGGCAAAGTAAAACAACACAAAGGCAGAACAAAAATCCACCGTAGAAAGAAATAGTTTCTATCAAGAGAATAGAAATCTGAATCAGTGAAACAGAAGACAAACTACAAACATTCATGGAAAATTAAGGGAAAAAAGATAAAACATAAAACTTATAAAGGGAGAAAGGGCAGATAAGGAGGATAGGCTACAAATGTCTAATCAAAGATAATAAGGTGCTATGCTACCATGGTGGATTACAGGAGGCCATAAATTCCTTATCATTCTTCCTATGAGGAAATGGACTCCATTTCCCCTCCTCTTGAATCTGAGCTGGTGAATCTTGTGACTTGTTGCACGAGTAAAATGTATTGGAACAATGATCTGCCACTTCTGCAACTAGTCTTTAGAAGAACTGGTGGCTTCCATTCTTAGAAGTTAGTAACATGCTCTAAAGTAATCCAGGATGACCTGCTAGAGAGAGGCAACATGGAGGCGAACTGAGGCACTCTGAGCCAACATTCAAGCACCAAGGACCCAAATACAGGAATAAACCATTCTACCATCTTTTAGTTCAGTGCAGCTACCCTTCTAAGTGCACCCATAGGAATGACTCTAGGTGACATCTCCAAGAGAACCATGGACTCAAACCACAGAATCATGAAAAAAAGATAAATTGTTGTTTTAAGGCAATAAACATTGGGGTAGTCCATTACACAGCATTGGTAACTGATGTAGCTATAATGATCTACAACAACACGACACTGCCAAAATATATGAATAATATCTGTAGTCTGTAGTATAAGATACTTGTATTTCAAGACCCTGCTAGAAAATAATATTTTAAACTGTTTGAGGCCAGGCGTGGTGGCTCACGCCTGTAATCCCAGCACTTTGGGAAACTGAGGTGGGCGAATCACTTGAGGTCAGGAGTTTGTGACCAGCCTGGCCAACATGGTGAAACCCCATCTCTACTAAACATGCAAAAATTAGCCAGGCGTGGTGGCACATGCCTGTAGTCCCAGCTACTGAGGAGGCTGAGACAGGAGAATTGCTTAACCTAGAAGGCAGAGGTTGCAGTGAGCCAAGATCGTGCCACTGCACTCCAGATGGGTGATAGAGTGAGACTCTGTCTCAAATAAATAAATAAGCAAACAAACAAACAGTCTGAAAACCCAGCTTGTTTCAAAAACCTGGCTGAAAGTAATAGCTTTTTAATTTCTTAAACTATCTTCCATTATTTACTTACTTGAAAAAATATTCTGAATTCTATCCATGAATTAACTCAGGCATGGAAGATAAATGCTAAATTGTAATATTGCATCTTCAAATTTTATTGACATCTATTTTAAGATGTTTAAAGAAGCTGTCTTAACAATCCCACTTAGGTAAGTATATTCTCATTCTTTGCTTCATTCATTCATTCAACAGTTTTTGAGGACTTACTATGCACAAGGAAACTACGAAGTAGGATTGAGAGCAGATTAAAACTGGATCACTCCCCTAACTTTCTAGAAAGTCAACCCCTGCTTAGTCTGCACTTCCACAGCACTTTATACAAATCTCGATTTTGCAGAAATAATAACAGCAGCCAACATTTATGGAACACTTACTATGTACCTGGCAAAATTCTAAGTCATTATTACATAATTTAACTCAGTTAATCCTCACAATAACCTTCATGAGGTAGATAGGTACTATTACCCCCATTTTATCAATGAGGAAACTGACTCATCTTGAAGTCTTTTTTCCCCACTAGACTCTAGACTCCATGAGGGCAAGTGTTTCTTCATCTCAGTATCTCACACATCCCAGTTTCTGGCACATATTTCGCTAGAAGTAAATAAAGAAATTAGTTTGTCCAAAAACTAGATACAAACATGCTCATTTACAAGAACAATTTTTTACTCCTCAAAAGTATAAGGCAATAACACTTTTTTGGACTAAGAAAAAATGGCTTGGTGTTGAATAAATATAGTATCTCTAACTGGTAAGAAAACTTAACATAAAGTTTACCCAACAATTGATGAAAACAATTAAGACTTAAATTTTTTAAACAAGTCTAATTTGATAATTTTATTCAGCAATATGTTATGCAGAAGTCCATAAAAATCACAATGACAGGCGCCAAGATGGCCAAATAGAAATCGCTGTGGCCAGAGGCTCCCACCAAGAACAAAAAAGGCCAGTGAATCCTGCACCAGCAACTTTGAGATATCCAGGTTCTCTCCATGGGACTGACTAGGCAGTTGGCGCGACCTATGGAGAGTGAGGAAAAGAAGGGTGATGCAATGGCCCACATGGGAGCCACAATGGAGAAAGGGGAGCTCCCACCCTCAGCCAAGGGAGGCAGTGAGTGACTGTGCTACCCTGCCCAGGAAACCATGTTTTTTCCACAGATCTGTGCAACCCGTGGGTCAGGTCAGGATATCACCCTCATGAGCCGATGCCACCAGGGCCTTGCGTGCCAAGCGCAGAGCTGTGCAGATGTTTGGCGGTCACTCAACTGGAGAATGCCTAAGACTACCGAATTCCCAGGGAAAGGGGCCACCGTCATCACTGCGGCTGCCTGCTGTCCAAGACGACTAAGCTCCCCAGGGAAGGGAGAGCAGCCATCACTGCAGCTGCCTGCTGCCTAAGATGACTGAGCTCCGGAGGGGCAGCAGCCAGCACTGTAGCTCCAGTTGGCCGTTTTTTCCCTGCTGGTGCCAGGGAGACTGGACGGTTTGGACCCAGGAGAAATTCTCCACAGCAAGGACAGCGGCTGTGGCAGACTGTGGCCAGACTGCCTCTTCAGGCCAGATCCTGACCCATCCCTCCTCACTGGGCAGGGCCTCCCTGCAGGAATTTTAGCAACTCCAGCAGGGGTTTAGGAATGGAACTCTGCTCTCCCTGGGACTCAGCCCCTGCGGGGAGAGGCAGTAGCTGTCTCTGTGGATCAGCAGACTTAAGTCTTTCTCCCTGCTGGCTCTGAGGAATCCAGGTAGTCCAGAGGAGTGTGACAATCCCCAGCACAGTGCATCCCCTCCGCCAAGGGACAGCTGGACGATTTCATTAAGCAGGTCCTGGATCTTGTGCCTCCTGACTGAGAGAGACCCCCCCAACAGGGGTCGCCAGACACCTTATATAGGAGCATTCCTGCTGGCATCAGGTCGGTGCCCCTCTGGGACAGAAATCACAGAGGAAGGAGTAGGCAGCCATCTTTGCTGTTCTGCAGCCCCCTCTGGTGACATCTCCAGGTGTGGGAGGGATCCAAACGCATAGGGTCTGGAACGGGCCCCCAGCAAACTGCAGCAGCCCTACGGGAGAGGGGCCTGTTTTTTTGTTTTGTTTTGAGATGGGGTCTTGCTCTGTCACCCAGGCTGGAGTGCAGTGGCACGATCTTGGCTCACTGCAACCTCCGCCTCCCAGGTTCGAGCAATTCTCCTGCCTCAGCCTCCTGAGTAGCTGGGACTACAGGCGCATGCCACCACGCCCAGCTAATTTTTTGTATTTTTTAGTAGAGACAGGGTTTCACTGTGTTAGCCAGGATGGTCTCGATCTCCTGATCTCATGATCCACCTGCCTCGGCCTCCCAAAGTGCTGGGATTACAGGCGTAAGCCACCACACCCAGCCCTAACTGTTAAAAGAGAAACTAACAGAAAGCAACAACAGCAGCATCAACAAAAAAGTCCCCACAAAAATTCCATCTAAAGGTCAGCAGCCTCAAAGATCGAAGCTGGATAAACCCATGAAGATAAGAAAGAATCAACGAAAAAAACATTGAGAACCCCAAAAGCCAGACTGCCTCTTCTCCTCCAAATGATCACAACATCTCCCCAGCAAGGGCACTCAACTAGACGAACGCTTAGATGAACTGACAGAAGTAGGCTTCAGAAGGTGGGTAATAACAAACTTCACAGAGCTGAAGGAGCATGTTCAAACCCAATGCAAAGAAGCTATGAACCATGATAAAACATCACAGGAGCTGTCAACCAGAATAACCAGTTTAGAGAGAAACATAATGACCCAATAGAACTGAAAAACACAACACGAGAACTTCACAATGGAACCACAAGTATAAATAGCCAAAGAGACCAAGTGGAGGAAAGAATTTCAGAGCTTGAAGACTATCTTCCCAAGATTAGAGAAAAAGGAATGAAAAGGAACAAAGAAAACCTCTGAGAACTATGGGATTATGTAAGAAGACCAAATCTATGACTGATTAGGGTACCTGAAAGAGATGGGGAAAATGGAACCAAGTTGGAATATATACTTCAGGATATCATCCAGGAGAACTTCCCCAACCTAGTAAGACAGACCAACATTCAAATCCAGGAAATCCAGAGAACCCCAGTAAGATACTCCATGAGAAGATCAACCCCAAGACACATAATCATCAGATTCTCCAAGGTCAAAACTCAAAGAAAAAAGGTTAAAAGCAGCCAGAGAGAAAGGCCAGGTCACCTACAAGGGAAGCCCATCAGACAAACAGCAGACTTCTCAGCAGAAACCCTACAAGCTAAAAGAGATTGGGGACCAATATACAACATTAAGAAAAAAATTTCCAACCCAGAATTTCATGTCCAGCCAAACTAAGCTTCATAGGCTTAGTTTGGAAAAATAAAATCCTTTTCACAAAAGCAAATGCTGAGAGAATTCACCACTATCAGGCCTGCTTTGCAAGAGCTCCTAAAGGGAGACTAAATATGAAAAGGAAAAACCATTACCAGCCACTGCAAAAATACACTGAAATACAAAGACCAATGACACTATGAAGCAGCTACATCAACACGTCTGCAAAACCACCAGCTAACATCATGATGACAGAATCAAATTCACAAATAACAATATTAACCTTAAATGTAAATGGGCCAAATGTCCCAATTAAAAGACACAGAATGGCTAGCTGCATAAACAATCAAGACCCATCAGTGTGCTGTATTCAAGAGACCCATCTCATGGGCAAAGACACACATAAGCTCAAAACAAAGGAGTGGAGGAAAATTTACCAAGCAAATGGAAAGCAGTAAAAAGCAGAGGTTGCAATCCTAGTTTCTGACAAAACAGACTTTAAACCAACAAAGATCAAAAAAGACAAAGAAGGGCATTACATAATGGTAAAAGGATTAAATCAACAAGAGCTAACCATCCTAAATATATATGCATCCAATATAGGAGCATCAAGATTCATAAAACAAGTTCTTAGAGACCTACAAAGAGACAAAGACTCCCATATAATAACAGTGGGAGACTTTAACACCCCACCATCAATATTAGATAGATCATCAAGACAGAAAATTAACAAGGATATTCAGGACCTGAACTCAGCTCTGGATCAACTGGACCTGATAGATATCTGTAGAACTCTCCACCCAAAGACAACAGAATATACATTCTTCTTGGTGCCACATGGCACATACTCTAAAATCAATCACGTAATTGGAAGTAAAACACTTCTAAGCAAATGCAGGAAAACTGAAATCCTAACAGTCTCTCAGACAACAGCACAATCAAATCAGAACTCAAGATTAAGAAACTCACTCAAAACCACACAACTACATGGAAATTGAATAACTTGCTCCTGAATGACTCCTGGGTAAATAATGAAATTAAGGCAGAAATCAAGAAGTTCCTTGAAATCAATGAAAACAAAGAGACAATGTACCAGAATCTCTGGGATGTAGCTAAAGCAGTGTTAAGAGGGAAATTTATAGCACTAAATGACCACATCAAAATACTAGAAAGATCTCAAGTTGACAACCTAACATCACAACTAAAAGAACTAGAGAACCAAGAGCAAACAAACCACAAAGCTAGCAGAAGACAAGAAGTAACCAAGATCAGAGCAGAGCTGAAGGAGAGAGAGACACTAAAAACCCTTAAAAAAAAAAAAAACTAATCCAGGAGCTGGTTTTTTTAAAAAATTAATAAAATAGCTAGAACGCCAGCTAGATTAATAAAGAAGAAAAGAGAGAAGAATCAAATAGATTCAATAAAAAATGATAAAGGGGACATCACCACTGACCCCACAGAAACACAAACTACCATCAGAGAATACTATAAACCCCTCTATGCAAATAAACTAGAAAATCTAGAAGAAATGGATAAATTCCTGGACACATACACCCTCCCAAGACTGAACTAGGAAGAAGCTGAATCCAGGAATAGACCAATACAGGTTCTGAAATTGAGGCAGTAATAAATGGCATACTAACCAAAAAAAGCCCAGGACCAGATGGATTTACAGCTGAATTCTACCAGAGGTACAAAGAGGAGCTAGTATCACTTCTTCTGAAACTATTCCCAACAATTGAAAAGGAGGGACTTCTCCCTAACTTATTTTATGAGGCCAGCAACAACCTGACACCAAAACCCAGGAGAGATGAAACAAAAAAAGAAAACTTCAGCCAATATCCCTGATGAACATTAATGCAAAAATCCTCAATAAAACGCTGGCAAAGTGAATCCAGCAGCACATCAAAAAGCTTACTCACCACGATCAAGTCAGCTTCATTCCCAGGATGCAATGCTGGTTCAACATATGCAAATTAATAAACATAATTCATTACATCAACAGAACTAAAAACAAAACCACATGATTATCTCAAAAGACTCAGAAAAGGCCTTTAATAAAATTCAACATCCCTTAATGTTAAAAACTCTCAATAAATTAGGTATTTATGGAACATAGCTCAAATACAAGCCATTTATGATAAAATCACAGCCAGTATCTTACTGAATGGGCAAAAGCTGGAAACATTTCCCTTGAAAACTGGCACAAGACAAGGATGCCCTCTCCCACTATTCCTATTTAACATAGTATTGGAAGTTCTGGCCAAGGCAATCATGCGAGAGAAATTAAGTGTATTCAAACAGGAAGAGAGGAAGTCAAACTGTCTTGTTTGCAGATGACATGACCCTATATCTGGAAAATCCCATCATCTCAGCCCAAAAGCTTCTTAAGCTAATAAGCAACTTCAGCAAAGTCTCAGGATATAAAATCAATGTGTAAAAATCACAAGCATTCCTATACACCAACAACAGACAAGCAGAGAGCCAAATCATGAATGAACTCCCATTCATAATTGCTACAAAGAGAACAAAATACATAGGAATAGAGCTAACAAGGGAAGTGAAGGACCTTTTCAAGGAGAACTCAAGGAAATCAGAGAGGACACAAACAAATGGAAAAACATCCCATGCTCATGGATAAGAAGAATCAATATCGTGAAAATGGTCATACTGCCTAAAATAATTTATAGATTCAATACTATTCCCATTGAACTACCATTGACTTTCCTCACATAATAAGAAAAAACTACTTTAAAATTCATATGGAACCAAAAAAGAGCCTGAATAGCCAAGACAAATCCTAAGCAAAAAGAACAAAGCTGGAGGCATCACACTACCTGACTTCAAACTATACTACATGGCTACAGAAACCATAACAGCATGGTACTGGTACCAAAACAGACACATAGACCAACGGAACAAAATAGAAATCTCAGATATAAGACCACAGGTCTATAACCATCTGATCTTTGACAAACCTGACAAAAACAAGCAATGGGGAAAGGATTCCCTATTTAACAAATGGTGCTAGGAGAACTGGCTAGCCATATGCAGAAAATTGAAACTGGGCCCCTTCCTTACATCATATACAAAAATTAACTCAATACAGATTTAAAGACTTAAACATAAAACCCAAAACTATAAAAACTCTAGAAGAAAATCTAGGCAATTCCATTCAGGACACAGGCATGGGCAAACTTTTCATGATGAAAACGTCAAAACCAATTGCAACAAAAGCAAAAATTGACGACTGGGATCTAATTAAACTAAAGAGCTTCTGCACAGCAAAAGAAACTATCATCAGAGTGAACAGACAATGTACAGGGAGAAAATTTTTGCAATCTATCCATCTGACAAAGGGCTAATATTCAGAATCTACAAAGACCTTAAACAAATTTTCAAGACAAAAAAAACTTCATTCGAAAGTGGGCAAAGAACATAAACAGACACTTTTCAAAAGAAGGCATACATGCAGCCAACAAACATGAAAAAAAAAAGCTCAATATCACTGATCATTCAAGAAATTCAAATCAAAATCACAAGGAGATACCACCTCACACCAGTCAGAATGGCAATTATTAAAATGTCAAGAAACAACAGATGCTAGTGAGGCTGTGGAGAAAGAGGAACACTTTTACACCATTGGTGGGAAAGCAAATTAGTTCAACCATTGTGGAAGATAGTGTGGCTATTCCTCAAAGACCTAGAACCAGAAATACCATTTGACCCAGCAATCCCATTACTGGGTATATATCCAAAGGAATATAAATCAATCTATGATAAAGATACATGCAGGTATGTTCATTGCAGCACTATTCCTGATAGCAAAGACATGGAATCAACCCAAATGCCCATCAATGATAGACTGAATAAAGAAAATGTGGTACATATACACCATGGAATACTATATAGCCATAAAAAGGAACAAGATCACGTCCTTTGCAGGAGCATGGATGGAGCTGGAAGCCATTATCCTCAGCAAACTAACACAGGAACAGAAAACCAAATACCACATGTTCTCACTTCTAAGTGGGAGCTGAACAATGAGAACACATGGACACAGGGAGTGGAACAACACACACTGTGGCCTGTCAGGGATGAGGGGAGAAAGAGCATCAGGATAAATAGCTAATGCATGTTGGGCTTAATACCTAGATGATGGGTTGACAGGTGCAGCAAACCACCATGGCACACGTTTACCTATGTAACAAACCTGCATGTCCTGCACATGAATCCCAGAACTTAAAAAAATCACAATGACAACTATTCAAATCTGCATCATAAAGTATTTTAAAAGGAGTCAGTGACAGAGGAATAAGAAAATAAGGGATAATAACCATTAAAATATGTGGCTTTAAGACAATCCAAGTAACTGTAACACCTAATACTTCAAACTATGTAATTTGGATATTTTTGGCTGACCATTATTTGGGTTGGTAGAGGTGGAGTCATAAGCTGTAAAACCTGTGACTATCCGTTTCATTGCACACTGTAACTTAAAAACAACAATGAAAACCCTTATATAATTGACTTGTTACATTAAAAATTCACAATCCTCAGATTACCGGCTACAAACAGGAATTTGGATTCTACAAGGGGAATAAAACTAATTGAAATAATTTACCAAACGTACCCCATAATTCATTATCACTTCAGGATACCAAAACTATCTTTTTTTTAAGAAGGGAGCATAGCCAGGTGCGGTGGCTCACACCTGTAAACCCAGCACTTTGGGAGGCCAAGGCAGGCAGAACACCTGAAGTCAAGAGTTCGAGGTCAGCCTAGCCAACATGGCGAAACCCCATCTCTACTAAAAATACAAAAATTAGCCAGGTGTTGTAGCAGGTGCCTGTAATCCCAGCTACTTGGGAGGCTGAGGCAGGAGAATCACTTGAACCCGGGAGACAAAGGTTACACTGAGCCAAGATGGCACCACTGCACTCCATCCTGGGCGACAGAGTGAGACTTCATCTCAAAAAAGAAAAAAAAAAGAAAGGAGCATAAACCTAGTACTCCTAGGACCAGACAAAATGGCTACATTTCAGAATAATACCCGACAAGAGTAAATTTTAGAGAATGTTGGTATGTCAAATTTTCAATCTGACCTCTAGAAAGGCTACTGTCTCTCCTGGGTATCTGATTGAGAACTGAAGTACAAACATTAGTTACATTTGCCAAAACTTTTTGTAGCAGACTGCTGGTTGTCTAACACAACATCAATTACCAAACCCCTTTACTCTTGCCATCTCCCGCTACAGAAATTGAAAGCCAAATATTCACCTTCTAACAGCTAGGAGTGGCACATAACCCAGTTCTGGAAAAGTAAGTCTGATAGCGAGCTTCGGAGAAAGCTTTTGCATTCCTAATATAAGGGACAGTGTGGCTGACACCAGCCATCTCCCATTTGACTGCCTTGAACAGAGATGTAATGCCCATTACTACAGCCATCTTGAAACCTTGAAGCAACAAGTATATGAAAAGCAAACAAGCTAACGGTGATGAACCAGAGATAGCTTCAATCTCTGATGATTCTATCCTGATCTGCTAACTATAACCGCCCACCTATACCCTTAAGTGGAAAAAAAGAAAATGTCCTTTTTTGTTGTTACTGTTGGCTAGGTTTTCTGTTATTTTCAGCAGAATGCCAACCTTACTAAGCATGCAAAGACTATGATGTACAATTCCTTTAATTTAAAAAAGTTCTAGTAATTGTACAAACAAAAAGCAAACATTCTGATGCCAAGTAAGTGTGACAACAAATTAAACCCGGGACAAATTAAATTAAATGTTAGGAAGTCCTAAATAACTTCTCTTAACAATTTTTATATAAATTAATAAAATACATGCATTTCAGAAATTTTACAAAATACAAAATAATATAAGGAAGGAAAAAAACTCAATACCCAGAAATAACCACTTATTATATTTTGGTATATTTCCATCCAATTCATTTTTATACATATATCAACATATAAAACTATGCTTTTATCTTTATAAACTGGAATCCTGTAGGATGTTTTATTAACTAATACAGGTAGAAAGTGATAACTCAGTAGTACATAAAAGCATGTAAGACTCAAAAATAAAAGTATCTCTTCCACCATTCCCATACACACAGGACCACATATACACAAGACCTCATTCTCCATTCCACTTCTCATAAACAGCCACTTTTAATATTTTTGGCATTGTGGATGTTTCTTGATTTATCACCTATTAACCACATCAAATGACTTCTTACTATAAAGATTGAGAAATTAAGATACCCTCTGCCCTTTCTTCCCAATTTTTGTTACTTTCATTTTCATTTTTAGCTTTTCTACTGGTTTGTATTCCACATTAAAAAAATACACTTAAGCCTCTATTTCTTGACCTAGGAATTTTAGATGGAAATGTCTTAGCTCCTAACTGTGTAAGATAAGGAAATTAGTATTCTTACACAGCAAGCATTTTTAATCATAAAGTTTAACCAAAGAATTAAAATATGACTATTTGGCCTTACCCAATCCTGAGTGAGAGGAAAAAAATGTATGTACGTACTTGTCGCTTTAGTACTATTTCATTTAAGAAAAAGTGTTGAAAAATATAGGAGCAGTATCATAATGAAGACCAAATCTAGAAAGCAACTATTAGAACTTGGAAATCCTATAATGAATTTTTGTAATTACTACAGACAAACATGAATTTTTAAATTAAGAAAGATGAAGCCTGAGGAAGAGAGTACAACATGAAGGTCAGTTGACAGGAAAGGAATACTGATCAACTCCTCTTTTACACTGGTCTTCTCCAAAGAGAAATATCATAATGAAAACATTGATATTGATAGTTAGCAAGTAGCTTATCACTTTGAGTTCCGGTCAGCATCAGTGATTTTTGATCAATGTAAAAGCATCTGAAGAATGTTTTAAAAACAACAACAACAACAACAACAACAACAACAAAACTTAAAAGGGCAAGTATCCCGACTGTCTATATAGAAGTAAACAATGGGTGAGTTAAATACTAAATATTAGTAAAGTTGATGTCAAACTAGTAATATTCTACAGATTATTAAATAGTTATTTACTATTTAATATGTCCCATGCAGTCTGATAAGAGCTAATCACACATTATGAGCTTGGATTCCTATACCCATATAAAGTAGGCACTTTTATCATCTCCATTTTACAGACCAGAAATTTAAGACAGATTAAGGATTGTGCCCACAGACACTAATAAATGGCAAAGCCAGGATTTGGAATTCAGTCCCATCCTCTTAACCATTACACTCAAATGACATATATAGGTACAGCTGACCCTTAATAACATGGGTTTAACTGAATGACTCCACTTGTACCTGGATTTGCTTCTTCTGCCTCAGCCACTCCTGAGATAGCAATACCAACCCTTTCTCTTCCTCCTCAGCCTACTTGACTTGAAGACATCAAGGATGAAGACCTTTATGATGATCCACTTCCCCTTGATGAAAAATAATACATTTTCTTAATAACATTTTTTCTCTTACTTCATTGTAAAAATACAGTACATTATATATAAAATGTGTGTTAATGGACTGTTTATGTTATCCGCGAGGCTTCCAGTCAACAGCAAGCTATTAGTAGTTAAGTTGTGAGGGAGTCAAAAGTGATTTGCGCATTTTTGACCGTGCAGGTGGTCTGTGCCCCTAACTCTAGTCTTGTTTCAAGCATCAGATGTACTTTGAAATTGTAGATGGACAAGAAGTAAGAATAGATTCACTAAGAGCAAGTTAAGTCAAACTAGTCACTTTTTTCGAGTTCCAGGTTCCCATGGCATGGATAAATCTCCAAGACATAGTAAGTGATTACGGTATCATTTATGTAATGTGAGGCAAAACAGAAAGATGCAATGTTTACACAGAATAAAGTGTAAAAGTCTCATTTTCTTAATTATCCCCCTTCCTATCCCTGCCTAATCTCTTCAATCCGAATCTCTTGACAAGGGGATAATACTACCTATAATTTGGCATTTTCTTCTAGTTCTTAAGTACTTCTTAAAAATTTTAGCTTTATATTGGCATGACATACTTGGCAGTGGTTATTTCTGAGAAAGAATATGGAAGAAAGGAATCACACGATACCCTATATATTTACTGCTTGGCTCTTTTAAAGGAGAATATATTACTTAGATAATACAAAATGTTTTCATCATAATGATGCTCAAAGGAAAAAGGTGAAGAGTTTGTAAGTATGACCTCAATGGTCTCCTTGAATGGGAAAAGTCTGACATATTAAACTACTTAACAACTAAAAAATTTTACAAGGCAAAAATATACCGTAACATTAAAAGGTATATTCAAACTAGAAAAATATTCACAACAAAAAAGATTAATCAAATAAAGGTATTCTCAATACACAAAAAGCTCTTACCAATAAATAAGAACATAAAATTTATACATGTTTAAGGATAGGCCTCATATTTAAAACTTAACTAAGAACAAGAATAATAATTCATTTAAGCAACGTTAAACCTCAGTAACAAAGAAATGTAAAATAAAACAGCAATACAATGGCAAAAACTAGAAAGAGTAACACCCAGCAATGGCTACGGTATAAGAAAGTAGAACCCTTCACATATTAGTGCTAGGAATGTAAACTGGTAACATCTGGACAATAAACTGACTTTATAAATGATTTATATAATCAAAACATAATAAAAGTTCCCTTAAAGAGTAAAACTGAGAAAAAGTGGCTACAGCCTTTAATCGCACCGAAGGCCCCTACAGTGACAGACTATGAGAAGAGGCTAACAGTCTCACTGTGCTTTTTCCCTGCACCGATCACATCTGCAGTAACAGATTCACTTCTGGGCACTACGCTGTAAGAGAAACATTGACAAACTGAGCTATTTCCACAGTAAGATACCAATACAGTCAGCCCTCCATATCTGTGGGTTTCCCATCTGTGGATTCAACCAACCACAGATCAAAAATATTCAGGAAAAAGAAATCATCTGTACTGAACACTTACAGACTTTTTTCTTGTCATTATTCCCTAAACAGGACAGTGTAACAACCACTTACATAGAATCTTTACATGGCATTTGCAGTGGATTAGGTATTGTAAGTAATTTAAAGATGATTTAAAGCATACAGGAGGGTGTGTGCAGGTTGTATGCAAATACTACACCATTTTATGTAAGGGATTTGAGCATCAGCAGATTTTGCTATCTCCAGGAAGTCCTGGAACCAACCCCCCGTGGATACTGGGGGACAACTGTACCGTGTATGAGAGGGCTGCAAACCGTGTCTTATAATAATTATAAACATAATAAAGAATTGAGAGCACTTTGCTTAGAAAGAGGGATTTTAGGGAAGACAGGATAGCAATCTCGAAAAATCCGAAGGCCTATAAACTGGAAAACAGAACTTGTTTTATATTGCTCAGGAGGGCAAACAAAGACCACCAGTGCTCAGAGCTGTTAAATAATGAAACAGATACAGTGCAACTTTAGTTGCCCACAATATCTAAGATAAGTGATCCATTAGAAACACAGTAGAAAAGATTCTTCTTATAGGCTTAGAAAGTTAGGTTTCATGAAATCAGAGGTACTTTACCGTTCTAAGAGTAAAGCAAAAATTACCCTTAAAATACGCATTAATCTTCCAAACCATAAAAACTACAATATTCCCAATCTTTTATTCTACTTACCTAATTTAGATACCTTATTTACTAGTCCATTCTGGGACAATCAGGGTACAACCCACTATCTTTGTCAGGAATAACCATTCAGTCAAATCTACCAACTCCTACCCTGTCAGTTCTGTTTTGCTACACAAAAATTTGACAGATATACAACATGGTTCTAGAATTCCAGTGCTGCCCTTACCGAAACTCTCTCCTGAACATTAGGCTGCTTTCATAACTGTGATCTAGTCTGTGTTTCCTACCTTGCCTCAGCTGTCCCAGTTCTAGTTCCTTGCCCTAATATCTGTGACATACTGTTATCTGAACTTCTAGAATCATTATTTTCTTCCCCATTTTTGTATCACATACTGATTAAGAGACTACCGTGCTCAAAATAATGGTGAACTGTATTTCAGAAGGAAAATTACAAACTGTACAAAATATAAAGTTGTATTAGACACAGTGCTGTCAAGGAGGTTACAATGGAAAGGAGAAATAACAGATCTATGTAATAACAAGGCAATAGAAAGTCATAAGGAGGTCAAGACAGGAAATTGTTGCAATATTATACAGACAAAAGAAATCATTCTAATTTTGTAAGACCATGATCTGGGTAAATAATTTGGCTTTGAAGGACACAGGAGATTTTTCACTTAAAAAGACAGAGGGGAAAAAACATGCCAAGCCGAAAAACTAGCATAACCAAAAACACAGAAAATTAGTGGTAGGTGCAGGGCTATCACACATCAAAAGGTAATGTGATTGATTATAAAATGCGAACACAAACTAAAGAAAGTTTCTCTATGTCAAAGGGTATAGAAACTATGGAAACAGTTACTCAAAGAGAGAAAACACAAGTTCAAGAGGTACAGCTTCTCTGCATTCTCCACTGGGAAGTAGAGCAGTGAATAATATTACTCACACAGTGTGAGGATTCCACAAGGCGGAAGATACTCCCCCTTTTCCATACTCAGAGGATTTTAAATCTTTCCACCCAAAACTTCTGAGCCCCTCCCCCCCAACAAGATACAAAATATTTTTTGAAGAAATTCAATCTATTCCTAAACGTCAAGAAAGAAACAAAATCTGAAGTATCTAAGATCAGCAAAAAAGAAATCTCAGGTACTAATCCTGGCTCTATACCTAACTTGAAATATGGCCTCAGTTTTGAAATCTGTCAGATGAATGGATATAAGACTAGAGAGGCCACCAACAGTGGCTCCTGCCTGTAATCCCAACATTTTGGGAGGCCGAGGCATGAGGACTCCTGAAGGCCAGGAGTTGGAGATCAGCCTGAGCAACATAAAAAGACTCATCCCTAAAACTAAAAAAAAAAAAAAAAAAAAAAAAAAAGACTAGATAACTTTTAAAGTCACTTCTAGGTTGAAATTCTACATATGAGCTTAAGAAAAAGCTATCTTTCTAGATAAGTGATTCAAACTCGGTTTAAACTATTAGTTTCATACACCTCATAACTTGTAGTACTCATAATTTCTGATAAATTTTTATAAACTGTACTCCTACTTCTCACAAACTTCTTCTCCTCATAATTTAAGAATTAAATTGGAATACAGCAGTATGTGAATCATGAAGCTTAAATAAATTTGTGTATCTATACATTAAAACACATACCTAGCAAAATTTCACTTCCAGTAGTAGTATAGTAACTTGTATCAGACTAACCCTTCTATATATAAAATTATAAACTCTGTATAAAATATAAAGAATGACAATTTGAAGGCAGTAGAAAAGCTGCAAAAGCAGGCAGAAATTGAAGGAAACTGACTGTAAAGAAGGGAGCTACAAATGAGATTCGCACTGATGTGGCTTTTTACTCAAGGCGCTCTCCCATTCCTTGAAACTAGAGTGGAATGGCTAGAACTCAGAAAGTCTTACTAGTTTGAAGAGACAGAGTTCAGAGCTGCCAAAATAGCTGGAAAGTGAGAGGGAGATCTCAGTACAGCACGTTACTGTACTGAATACTGTAGGCAATTGAAACATGTTAAGTATTAGTGTATCTAAACATATCTAAACATAGAAAAGGTACAGTAAAAATATGGTATTATAATCTTATGGGACCACCATCATTAGCAATCTGTTATGGACCAAAACATCATTATATGGCTGTATTTGTCCATTTTCATACTGCTATAAAGAACTGCCTGAGGCCGGGCGCAGTGGCTCACACCTGTAAATCCAGCACTTTGGGAGGCTGAGATGGCTGGATCACCTGAGGTCAGGAGTTCGAGACCAGCCTGGCCAACATGGTGAAACCCCGTCGCTTAATGAAAATACAAAAATTAGCCAGGCACAGTGGCACACACCTATAGTCCCAGAGGCTGAGGCAGGAGAATTGTTTGTACCTGAAAGGCAAAGGTGGCAGTGAGCCAAGATCACACCACTGCACTTCAGCCTGGGTGATAGAGCAAGACTCCATATCAAAAAACAAACAAACAAAAAAAACCTGCCAGAGACTGGGTAATTAACAAAGGAAAGAAGTTTAATTGACTCATAGTTCAGCATGGCTAGGGAGGCTTCAGGAAACTTACAATCATGGCATAAGGTGAGGGGGAAGAAGGCACCTTCTTCACAGGGCGGCAGGAAGGCCGAGTTAAAGGGGAAGAACCCCTTATAAAACCATCAGATCTCATGAGAACTCGATAACACGAGAACAGCATGGGGGAAACTGCCCCCGTGATTCAATTACCTCCGCCTGGTCTCTCCCTTGACACGTAGGGATTACAATTTTTAAGATGAGATTTGGGTAGGGACACGAAGCCTAACCATATCAATGGCACATGACTATATAAGGAAACAGCAAGTCAAAATAACAACAGGTGACTTTTCATCAGAAACCATGGCAGCCAGAAGAAAATGAAATGACATATTTAAAATGATAAAAAAAACACAATTATCAAATTAGAATCCTATATACAATTTAAAAAATCCTTCAAAAATGAAGATGAGCCCAGCCACAGTGGCTCACACCTGCAATCCTAGCACTTTGGGAGGAAAAGGTGGGAGGATCGCTTGAGGCCAGGAGTTTGAGACCAGCCTGGACAACATATTGAGACTCCATCTCTATAAAAAAATAATTTAAAAATTAGCCGGCCACATATACGATTTTTAAAACTGTATATAGGATTCTAATTTGATAGTTTGGATTCTAATTTGAGCCACTGTGGCTGGGCTCATCTTCATTTTGAAGGATTTTTTAAATTGTACAGGATTCTAATTTGATAGCTGGTGGGAATGTAAATTAGTTCAGCCGCTGTGGAAAGCAGTTCAGCAATTTCTCAAAGAACTTAAAACAGAACTACCATTAGACCCAGCAATTCCATTATTGAAAATATGACCAAAGGAATATAAATCATACATGTATCATAAAGACACATGTACACATATGTTCATCACAGCACTACTGACAACAGAAAAGACACAGAATCAACCTAAATGCTCATCAACAGCAGACGAAAATGTGGTACATACACACCATGGAATATTATGCAGCCATAAAAAAAGAATGAGATCATGTCCTTTGCAGCAACATGGATGGAGCTGGAGGGTATTACCTAAGTAAACTAATGAAGGAGTAGAAAACCAAATATTACATGTTCTCACGTGTAAATGGGAGGTAAACACTGAGTACACATGGACAATGTATACTCGATGTTTCAAGTACACGCTGAGGGTGTACTTTGTGTACACATTGAGTACACATTTGAGTACACACTGTACTTTAGAGAGTATACACTGAGAGTGTATTTTGAGGGTGGAGGGTGGGAGAAAGGTGAGGATCTTAAAACTACCTATAGGGTACTATGCTTATTACCCGGATGACGAAATAATCTGTATACCAAACCCCCTCAACACGCAATTTACCCATATAACATCTAACCAATAATGTATTCTGGAAACTAAAAGTTTAAAAAAAAAAGCTAAGGAAAAGTTCTTCAGGTGAAAAAAAATATCAGACAGAAAATGAAATCTATAGGAAAAAAATTTTTTAACTGAAAATAGGTATATAAGTGTAAATGACCATACTTTTCCTGCTCTTTTTCAAAAGACGTATGAATAAGGCAAAAAATATATAACATTATAACAGAGTTTATAACATGGTGATATACTATACAGGAGAACAACAGCACAAGGCACTCTCAGAAGTGGGGGCAAATATAAATATAGCATTGGAAGAGTCTTATATTTTATATGGAGCAGTAAAATACTAACCCTACATAGACTGTAATAAATTAAGAATGAATATTGTAATCTCAAGAATAGAGTTCCTCAACCTCAGCACTACTAACATTTTGAACTGGAAATTTTTTTGCCATGGGATACTATTCCGTCCATTATAGAACATTCAGCAGCATATCTGGCCTCTACCCACTAGATGCCAGTAGCAATCCCACCCCCACATCATTTCAAACATGTCTCCAGACATTGCCAAATGTCCTCTGGGGACCAAAATCACCCTGGTTGTACTTTAGAGAGTATACACTGAGGATGTATTTTGAGGGTGGAGAGTGGGAGAAAGTGAGGATCTTAAAACTACCTATAGGGTACTATGTTTATTACCTGAATGACGAAATAATCTGTATACCAAACCCCTACAACATGTTATTTATCCATATAACAAACCTGTACATGTATTCTGTATTCCACTACCTTAGAACAATACCTAAAAAAGCAATGCAAGCTAAAATGATGACAGAACTGTTTATCAAAGGTTTTTCCTTGGCTCACCTAAGGAGCCTCTTTAGAAAACTCCCTCTAAATCACTTCGGTCCCCACCAAGAAATTTTAATACCAAAGATATATCTGTTTATATAATGTGATTGGAGAGCCACAAACAATTGTAATATAAAAGGATATTCTGTACCCTTTTCCAAGAACCTATGATTGCCCTATAGGAGAATTACCACTCCTGTTGAGAATGCATACTGTTAGTGGAATATACTGAAAAAAATTCAATTAACTCAAAAGAAGATAAGAAAGTATGAAGAGAGGAATTTTTTTAAAAAAATAACAGTATGCCTAAGTTCAACCACACCAACAATAACATTAACTATAAATTTTTAAATTGCTTTAAAATAAGACACATAAATAACAAGCCAATAGGAGAGATAAAATAGGATACTGAAAAGATACTAAATCCTAACAAAGGCAAAAAAATAGGGAAAAGATACAAAGAACACATGACACAAACAGAAAACTCAATCATATCAATAATTACATTAAATATGACTGGCCTAAAAACTCCCATTTAAAAGGTAAAGATTGTCAAATTAGATTTTTTAAAAAAGACACGACCCAAACATATGCTGTCAACGAGAGAAACAGTTTAAATACAAAACAAAGACTAAATATAATAGGACAGTTGAAAAGATACAAGATGCAAACACTAATCATAAAAAATCAGGAGTTACTATATTAATATCACACAAACTGAATTCCAAGATAAAGAGTGTCACTTGAGAAAAAGGTGAACATTTCATAAGGATAAAAGAAGCAATACATCAAGAAGATATAACAACAAAAAAGCCTCTAATAATAGAGCTTCAAAATATATAAAATTAAAAAGGTAGGACTAAAGAGAGAAACAGATAAATTCACAATCATAGCTGGAGACTATAACACTGAGTCACAGAACTAGAGGAAAAAAAAAAAACGAGTCAGTGAAGACATAGAAGACTATGACCCATTACCAATCATCTTGACTAGATATTTATAACACTATACCCCCAAAAAATAAAATACAGACAGACCAAATGATAAGACCACATAATGGATCATTTAAAAAATCATTAAAAAGTTGGCTGGGTGCAGTGGCTCAGGCCTGTAATCCCAGCACTTTGGAAGGCCAAGGCGGGTGGATCACCTGAGGTCAGGAATTCAAGACCAGCCTGACCAAAATGGAGAAACCCTGTCTCTACTAAAAGTAGAAAATTAGCCGGGCATGGTGGCACATGACTGTAAATCCCAGCTACTCAGGAGGCTGAGGCAGGAGAATCAACTTGAATCCAGGAGGCGGAGGTTGCAGTGAGCTGAGACTGCGCCACTGCACTCCAGCTTGGTGACAGAGCAAGACTCCATCTCAAAAAAAAAAAAAAAAAAGATTTCATAAAATGAATAAACTCCTAGCAAGATTATCAAAGGAAAAAAGAGAGCAAGTATATAATTTACCAATATCAGGATTTAATAAGGAGATATCGCTAAGATCTTACAGACATTCAAAAGATAAGGGAGCCTGTAATCCCAGCACTCGGGGAGGCCAAGGTGGGAGGATCACTTGTGCCCAGGACGTCAAGGTCAGCCTGGGCAATGGAGCAAATCTTGGCTCTACTAAAAAAATAAAAATAAGGATAAGGGAATATTAAAAACTTTGCACCCAGTAACTTAGACGAACATCTTGGATGAAAAGGAAATCCTTAAAAAATACAATTTACCAAAAATGACACAAGAGGAAATAGAAAATATGGATAGCCTTGTATCTAAAGAAATCTCATTTATCATCAAAAATCTTCCCACAAAGAAAGCTCCAACCCACATGGCTTCACTGATACATTTTGTCAAACACTGAAGAAAAAATACAATCCACCTTATGAGAAACAAGTGCTTCCCAACCTATTTTATGAATCCAGCATAACCACTGTATCAAAACTGAAAAGAAATTTACAGATCAATACTCTTGTAAATGCAAAAAACCCTTAGCAAAATATCAGTAAGTCCAAATTGGTAATATATTTTTTTAAATACATCATGACCAAATGGAATTTATTCCAGCAATGAAAGTAATTCACCATATTAAGAGAATAAAAGGAAAAAATCAAATGACCATTTCAATAGAAGCAGTAAAATCTTTAGAAAAAACTGACCACCACTCATGATAAAAACTCTCCGAACTAGGAATAGTAGGGAATTTTTTCAACCTGATAAAGGGCAGCAACAGAAAAGGAACAGCTAATGTGATACTTAAGTGGTAAAATAAATGCTTTCCCAATAAGATGAGCAATAAAGCAAAATATCCACTCTTACCACTTTTATTCAACAATGTACTGGAGGTCCTATCCAGTGAAATATGATCAGAAAAAGAAATCAGAGGCATAAAGATTGGAAAGGAAAAAGCAGAACTGTGGATGTTCGCAGATAACTTGACCATCTATGTAGAAAATCTTTAAACTAACATTAATAAGTGAATTTCATGAGACTTCAACTTACAAAATCAATACATAAAACTTGATTGTTGATTGAGAAGGAGCAAGTGTGTGTGTAACAGCAACTTTACAATTCTATAAATAACTTCAAAATGTATATGAAAGCTTATTTGATGGTTTGCTCCATGTGGTTCTATTGGTTGAAACTTTCAAAAATAATACATTGAAACTCTAAGAAAAGCTAATTTCACAGTATTGTAAATACATTAGTTAAATCTCAGAGTTTCAATACCATTAGAAAATAAATTTAATTTTCTTATGTTTACTCTCCATGTATAACCTCAACAGTCAAAGTGAGCTTCTCTAATGTACCATGTGGTTTACACAGTCACTACCACAGCTCTTTACTCTCTATGGAAAAAGCTTGCTGCTGGGTAGTAAACAGGAAATCATACTGTCATTTTCTTTCTCCTAATCATTTTATAACTTATTTCTAAAGTCATTTTGTGAATAAAAAATGAACAAAAAAAAACACATGCATGCACAAAATAAAGGAGAAGAAAAGACCCCTGGACTTAGATAAACACTCAAAAATGTAAATTGTTTTCTGTAACAACTTGTTAAATTTGACTAGATAACAAGAATCACATCTTACAGCATAACCAAGTTCACAATCTTTATGTTGCTAAAGTATATTTTGCTCAGCAGAATTAAGCTATCTTGTGAGACAACTCATAGACACAAAATCTTTATCCTGGCATTACCAAATACCGACACTGTAGTTCATCTAAATAAACCATTTCATGGAATATAAGAAAAATATTATTCAAAGGACAAAGTCAGTACAAAGAAAACTAAGGGAAAAAGTTATTTGAAAGCCAAAACTGGTTACACATAGAGAATACAACATGAAAGTTCAGTTTGTTAGATACTAATACAAAAAGTAGAATAAAGTAACACGAGCATGGAACATTTTCATCAAAATGCTTTTAATGATAAAAATCACCTCTTAGATTTATGACAATCTCAAAACAGTAACATTATGAATTGACTAGTTATACATTATATTTTAACTTATTATCAAGGAACTAGCTTTCCACATTTATAAAAGACTACTTAGGTTTTTATGAAATTTTATTAAGCAAATGAAAGTTAATAAATTATAATAAGCCCTTAATTAATACTATTGCAATTTATTTAATTCTATAATTTAGACCTTTTAAACTGGCTAAATTTCCTACTTTATTAATACACTAAGTACCTTCATAGCAAATATTACCACTAGCTATAAGGGAAAAAATTAAGAGAAGTGCTGAAATCCAATTTAGAGATTTAGAGTCACCTAGAACATACCTACAGGCTCGTCTTTGAGTAAGATCATTTAGTAAGTATTTAATATATACAGAGATGCCTCCTATGCTGATGTGCAACCAAGTTGTAAGGAGCTGTCCTGGATCCATCAAGGAGGAAAACGCAGACAATACTTTACTTGATGTTTGCTCTGTGATGTTTCTTTTATTGCCATTTCTAACACCAACAATACTATGGTAATGTGTTATCTCAATTAATACTTATCATTTTCAACTGTCCAGAAAAGTGTAAAAAATAGGATATCACTATTAATATATCACTAATAACCAAGGTTAGGAAAGCATTTATCCTACGTAATAATGAATATTTATCTTTCAGCCCTTTTTTTATTTTCCAAGAAGATATTTACTGAAAAGCAACTTACTCACATTAAAAGTACAAATCAGATTATATCTGGAGATAACAACAATTGATGCATATAGTCTTACGAAAAAAGACTAATATTCAAAGTAATAACTATATTATAACTTTATTATATCAATTTTTTGTTGTTGTTGTTGATGAGACGGAGAACATGACTCCATCTCAAAAAAAAAAAAAAAACAGAAAATACAGGAAAAGGTCCGGGTGCGGTGGCTCACGCCTGTAATCCCAGCACTTTGGGAGGCCAAGGCAGGCAGATCACGAAGTCAGGAGATCGACACCAACCTGGCTAACACGGTGAAATCTCGTCTCTACTGAAAATACAAAAAATTAGCCTGGCATGGTGGCATCCCAGCTACTCGGGAGGCTGAGGCAGGGGAATCACTTGAACACGGGAGGCGGAGGTTGCAGTGAGCCGAGATCATGCCACTGCATTCCAGCCTGGGTGACAGAACGAGACTCCGTCTCAAAAAATAAAATAAAATAAAATAAAAATAAAGAAAATCCAGGAAAAATAGCCACAGTCCAAACTAGAAACCAAATTAAAGTATGGCAGCTCTGGAGTACAAAGAGAGCGTAAGAAATCCATTTGTTCTCCAATGAGAACACACGGACACAAGGAGGGGAACATCACACACCAGGGCCTGCTGGGGGTGGGGGGCAAGGTAAGGGAGAGCATGAGGACCTAATGCATGGGGGGCTTAAAACCTAGGTGACAGGTTGACAGGTGCAGCAAACCACCATGGCACATGTATACCTATGTAACAAACCTGCACGTTCTGCACATGTATCCCAGAACTTAAAGTAAAATAAAATAAATCCATTTGCTCTCTAAGAATCTCATCATACCACTTTGTTTAGTCATATTATTTATATAATGTAATATTTTAACTGCTTTTCAGAATCAGCAAGTATAACTATTATAAACCTTGACATATAAAATAAATGTTACAGTTGAAAAACTGGAAAGGGAATGTGAGGAATTCAAGGGAAAGATGAGGAGAAAAGCTAATTTTTTTTTTTTTACAACTTATAAAGTGGCAAGTTTAGAGACAATGTCTGAACACTCTAAAGTTAACTGTTAAACAGCTATAAGTTTAATCATAAAGGCAACCAAAAAATAAAAGGAAGAAGGTAGGATCAGTATTAAAAGTTAAATCCTTCTATTTTTCACAATGGGGAGATATTAGGTTACTGAAGGTTAAAGTTTAGTATATTATATAAAAAACTGGCATAATGATGAGACAATTAAAAATAGGAAAAAAAGTTCTAAAATGATTATCTCTGACAAAGGAGGTAGAAAAGATAGGGAGATTTTTATTTTTCATTTTATACCTTTGTGTGTTATTCAAATTTTTATGTTTATGCAACTATTCATCTCAAAATAAACACATACACATTATTAGAAACACATACACATACACATCTCAAAATAAACACATACACATTATTAGAAAAATGATGGCAAATTCTTATTCATTTTTTTTCTATAGTCCATGGACTAAATACTTTCTATTATGGTATTTCAAAGATATAATTAATTAAACAGACTAAAGAATCATCCTAAACCTTTGATAAATATGTGGAGATAGCAACAGCTTACATTGTGTTAGAACTGTCAAAATAAATCCACAACCATCATCTCATTTAACCCTCAAAACCATCTTGTGAAAGCAGATTTTAGAGATTAGTAAAGTAAAACTCAAAAAGGTTCAAGTGATTTGCCATCCCCCTCCAAAAAAAGTAGAATAATATAAATACGTTTAAAAAGTAAATCAAAAAAGCCTTTATAAAGCACTGAAATCTGAAAATGCTTTCGTAATTTATAACAGGAGAATGACATTGAAAGAAATTACACTTGACAATACAAATGGTCAGGCACATCGGAAAACAGCTGGGCAGTTTGTTAAACATATACTTCTTATAAAGTTAAACACACACTTACCATATGACCCAGCAATATCATTCCTAAGTTATTACCCAAGACAAATGAAAACACATTACACAAAGACATGCACTCTAATGTCCAGACTCTTTATTCGTACTAACCAAAAGCTAGAAGCAGCCCAAATGTCCAACAAGTGATTAACAGATAAACTGTGATATATCCAGACCATGAACTACTACTCAACCATAAAAAAAAAGCTAATGATATACAAGACATGGATGAATATTAACAGTATTATGCTATGTAAAAGAAATCAGCCATAAAAAAACTATGTACTGCATGATTCCATTTATATGAAATTCTAGAAAAGCAAAATTATAGTAACAGCAGATAAAGTGGTTGCCAGGGTTAAGGGATGAGGACTGGGCTGCAAGGGAGAACAAAGGAACCTCTCGGGTTAATGAAAATAACCACTATATCGTTTTCAGAGTGTTTGTTACACTACTGTGTATCTCTGGCAAAACTCATCAAATTATGACTTTACATTGCTTAATTTTATTATGTAAGTTACGACTTAATAAGGCTCATTTAAAAAATAATCCATAATCACATTTAACTATGACAACAGCTTTTCAGGATAGGTATTTACTACAGACCTTCAAAAAATATTAAAATCAATATTAGGAGGGAACTTGTAACCATAAAGTAGATATACAGGAACTAAAAGGTTCTGAGAATGGAACAGTCCTCATCCTACTCGACGTGGCCATGTGGGTAAACAGTAGTTGCCTAGCAACTAATCTAAACTCTAAATTTCTAATAAATATATTGACCACATAAGCAGGTGATCTCACAGATGATAAACCGCTTTACATCGAAGGGTTCTTCCTTTAATAATAAAAAATAATAATGTGCTTAAGTTATTTATCTAAAGTAGGAGTGAACAAGGTGTATTAAACCTAGATGATGAAAAATAAAAATACGAAATTAAACATAAACATACACACACAAAAAATCCTTGTCCTCATTTGGCCTTTTACGTCAGGACTTTACTTACCAAATTTATGGGATTAATCCATGAGTTTGCGGGTGAACCCTTTCCCCTTTTCTACTTTAAGCCATTCCCCTACAACCATTCAAACTGGCTTAATTCTCTTATTTATATATTTACATGTGATTAAATGCATATAGGATCGTACTTTTACATATATTAAATGATTCTAAAGATATCTCTCCAGATTACAGAACCTGTAGACACCACAGAAAAATACAACACTTTCTGTAACACGCTACACACAACATACCAGAAAGTCAAACCTAACTTAACTAGATTATAAATGCTCAAAATCAAGAATTACAAAAAAATCCCTTAATAACAAGCAAATTCCTAACACACGTTAAATATATCATTTCTCTCTTACTAGACATAGCATGACACAGTTTAACAGTATCAGAAAAAAGATCAACTTCTAAGACACCACTCACTGCTAGCACTCTTACCAACCGTATTATTTTTGGTTTGCGGAGCACTTACCCCTCTTCTGAACCCAACCTTCTTTCACAATGGTAACATCGCTCATGATGACTCCCCTCTGAGCCCCCAACTTGGAGAAATGGTACTTTGTGATATCAGCTTTAGGGTTTGGATTCTCTGCTGCTGCTGCCCTTCCCACTCTCTAGTGATGACTCAGCCTGGAAGGAAGTATTGAAGAAAGAATTTTTTTTCCATTCTTGCAACTCACAGAGCAATAACAAACAACTAATTCTTTGTAAATGTCTTCAACTGGCCTGACCTCACATAAAAGTCTGGCTCTTCAAACTGGGGAACTTATTTATTAAATAGTTCTATAATGAAAGCACTTCCCTAGTCTTGTGACCAATTTCAAATGATAGTGAAACTTTTAACCTAAGAGGTTGCAACAAAAAAGTCTTAAGAAAACCAGTCACGCCTACCCAAATAATAGAGAAAATTTGTTTGGTGATGTGTATTTGAGGTGAAGAGGGAAGAGAATGAAAGTTAATTGCCCTAAATCCCTGTAATTTCAGAAGCAATTGTAAATTTTTTGTTTTTTTTTTTTTTGAAACGGAATCTCACTCTGTCGCCAGGCTGGAGTACAGTGGCGCGATCTCTGCTCACTGCAACCTCCACCTCCCAGGTTCAAGCGATTCTTCTGCCTCAGCCTCCCAAGCAGCTGGGACTACAGGTGTGCGCCACCACGCCCTGCTAATTTTTGTATTTTTAGTAGAAACGGGGTTTCACCATATTGGCCAGGCTGGTCTCAAACTCCTGACCTCATGATCCACCCGCCTCAGCCTCCCAAAGTGCTGGGATTACAGAAGTGAGCCACCACAACCAGTCGTGAATACTTTAAGTGATATAAAATACAACGTACCAAGAACTCATCATTTACGTATTCTTACTCTGCCTGTTCCAAGAAATATTTTAAGGAGATTAAAAAATAATTGATTTCATATTATGTACTTATTATAAAGTAAAGTGAAACAAAGGGAATATGAAAGTAGAAAAAAATATTTAGTACTCAAGATGTGCCAAGAACTGTTACGGGTACTTACATCTATTATTCTTATGTGATCTTTATAACCTTATGAGGATACTATTAATTCCATTTCACAGACAAGGAAACTGAGGCTCACACAGATAAACCAACTTGCTCAATTTCAACACACCTAGTAAATGTGGAGCCAAGATCTGAACCCAGGCTGTCTGACTCCAGAGCCTGCATTCCAAAACTATACTGCCTTAAGATAAAAAGAAGTCAGAGTAAAGGCATACATACTTGGGAAAGATACGTCACAAATTTGGCATGGAGCTCTTGGGAAGACAATGCAAATAACAAAACACAACAGGCTTTCCTATTTACAGTATCCAAAAAAAATTTTTTTTTGAGATGGGGTTTCCCCCCATCATCCAGGCTAGAGTAGAGTGGCACAATCATAGCTCACTGCAGCCTCCAATGGGGGTCAAGCAATCCTCCCACCTCAGCCTCCTGAGGAGCTGGACTACAGGCAGGCATCACCATGCCTAGCTAATTTTTAAAAAAAATTTTTGTGGAGATGGGGTCCCGCTATATTGTCCACGCTGCACAAATTTTTTTAAAAAGCAAAAAAAGTTCCTCAGAAGAAATACAACTTTTCCTGGGACAAACATCGAATTTATCCCATGGGTCTTCTTCATAAGATGTATGCGGGAAAGTCCTCAAAAACACCCTCCCATATACAGCAATGAGTTTTACAGGGTCATTGCTTATTGTCACTCTCAAACTAAAAAGGAAAATGCCAACATAAAATTAGTAAATCCATTTGCACAGAAGGGGACCAAAAAATGTGGTCCAGGTACACCAGTGTTATGTGGTCAAGAATCATATCATAAATTTTAGATAACTAGAAAAATGGATAGATGGACTACACAAACATACTCTCTCAACTTGGTTTGTGATAAATGATACATAGCAGTTAAGTTCAGTGTTAGACTCCCAACCTAGCGCTAAATTAGACTACAGGTCATTCTTCAATGCAAATTAAGTGTGGAGCTTAACCATTTAACAGTCAGGAATCAAGACTAAACATTCTCTAGACAGCCTGACTAAATAGCCTGACAAAAGCTATGTAGCTGAATGCAAGACCACCAGCCTCATGTATTATGAGGTCACAGGCAGAACCTATAGGTAAGGCTGAGACTCCTCAAAATCACCATGAGTCTGTTGCTGTAGAGTGTCAAAAAGGGATATTAGTTTGTAATCCCAGCACTTTGGGAGGCCAGGGCAGGAGGATCACTTATGTCCAGGAGTTCAAGGCCAGCCTGGGCAACAAAGTGAGACTATGTCCGTACAAAAAGGAAAAAAAAAAAGAAAAATTTACAATTAGCTGGGCATCATGGCATGCACCTGCAGTCCCAGCTGCTTGGGAGGCTGAGGTGGGAGAAATCACTTGAGCCCAGAAGTTTAAAGCTGCGGTGAGCTATGACTGCACCACCACACTCTGGCCTGGGCAACAGAGCAAGACCCTGTCTCTTTTTTAAAAAAAAGGGGGTATTAGAATCTGGATGTATTTTCCCAAAATACATTTGTTTGACAGAATGCTAAATTAGAGAAATTCTAGAAAAAAAATGAAAATAAAAAGAGAAATTCTGTGGGCTAGTTAGTGAGATATTCCACAAATCATACTCTTGAAACGTCACTATTGGCATATTAAAGGTTCTAAAATAAATAAATATGTATAACTTTATCTCAGCAAAGCCTAAATTTATTACTGTCATAGGAAATGGCCACATAATAAGACTCATTTCACCACACATGTTAAAAAAAAAAAAGCCAAAAAACCTTCAATAAAGAATCTAAACATTAAAAAACATTTTAATTTGATGTAACATCCTAAAGAATCCAACATGGCCAACTGCCTACATAATATAGGGCTAGATAACTGAAAGGGTTAACTACTTACACTGCATAAAGAATTATAAGTTAAATACCGGCAGACACTGGTGCATGATATCTCTAGAAGAGCTGCACTGTTGCCCTTCTCTTTGGTAATACTTTGTTGATGTTGAGCAAGGGGCTGAACATCTACTAAGACCATTCTTGGTTTTGTACTAAAAAACTATATAATATGAGTAAAAGACAATTCAGGTCTTACTATTCTTGGAGTAGAAATGGAAGAGAGATCAGGGTAATAATTAGTAATAACAAAAAATAATATATAGCCAATAAACATCTATAAAATACATACTTTTGTATTAAAATGGTTTGTATTACAGTATCTTTTTAAAGAACACTAAAAAAAATTTTCAAAATTGATTCTGTATTTTGAAGTGAACATTTTATTATCAGAATACTAAAGCTGGAGGGACCCTCATTTTATAGCTGAAGAAACAGAGACCAAGACAGAAGAAGTAACTTGCCCAAGATCAAAGAGTCACCAAATGGCCAACCAGGACCAGACAACCAGGCATATGCTCTTTACACTCACATTACTTCTTCAGTTTAAAACAATACACTGAAATATCCAGACCAACCCAAAAATCAATGAATTTTGTTTTATAACAAAACTGTTTCTAAAAACTAGTGCTTTAGATAAATGTTTTTTATCAGTGCTCATATGTGTAAGATTAAACTGTTAAGATGTATGTTAAATCAACAGGACAGAATTTACAATCTTCATCAGAGGCAGTGAACCCAAGCATACATTATAGAGATGGCTTTACCCATTTTCACTTAAAACTATTATCAAATATTACCCATAATTTTCAGCTTTAAAAATTGCTCCTGGGTCTTTACGGGCTAAAATGATACATTCTTTGAAAATAACTTAAAAGATGTCATAGGTACACTACTCTGGAATTATGATCAATAAGTTAGAAATAAACAATTATATTGACTAGTAAGCAGCAAACCATGTTCTTTAATTTTCCTACAGCAGCAATGCTCCTGCACCACAGCATGTACACTGTCCCATTCAGTCTTCCATATTAACTAAAAACACTAATCCACAAGATGAGCTGGAACTTTGTCATCTGTTTCCCAGGGTAGACAAAAGTTCACCTCCTTCTATACTCCTAACTTTTCTACAGATGTGTTCCATCCAACGAACTATAACAAAATTTGGTTTCTCTTTTTAGCTTATTGTATTGAACATTTCATTGCTAATTTAATTCTTCCCATTCTTATAAAGTTTCACACAAAATTCTTGACAGATTCCATTTAGATTTTACACAAAACAATTACACTAAAGGTATCTTCATTCTGAACTGACTGCTTGAGAATTTGATGATAATAGTAATGGCATTTGAAAGTCATTTTATAATTTACAAAACATTTTGCATATTTTACTTCATTCAATCACATAATTTAGTAAAGCAATTTGACAGTGCCTAGCACTTACGCGATGCTGGCAAATATGGAACAAATGAATGAGTGGATGAATGATGAAGATGCAGCCTTAGATAACTAACAAAGAACAGGCTAAGCAAACAAACATAAATCAGCAGAGAGAATGGTCTTAAGCCATCTTAAAAATAAAACTGAATTTAAACATTAAAAAAGCACTTATAGAGAAATTATAATTAAAATTATAATAAATACTCTGCCCTATTCCTTAAGGTATGTTTCCTATAGACCTCCATTAATTACAATGACTAGAACACAATAAATGTTATCTTTTTCACCATTTTTGTTGAGATCAAGTTTCAACTTCAAACAAAACCACCATCAGTACTATAAATATATATCGATATATTGATGATAATATATTGATAATATATATATTTATAGTACTGATGGTGGTTTTGTTTGAAGTTGAAACTTGATCTCAACAAAAATGGTGAAAAAGATACATTTATAATATATCGATATATATTATAGCATTAATCTAACCAAAATTATCAATTATGGGAAGAAAAATGGGAAAGAATGGCATATTTTCTTAATGATACTTTTAAGAATTTGTAAAAGATACGTGTTTGCTTATAGTAACCAGCCATTCAATTTTAAGCAAAAAGTAAACTTCTTCAAACATCTTTTGAAAATTTCTACTCAAAAAATATGTAACATACCTATACTTATTCAGTCAATAAATATGTATTGTCTACTCTGTGACAACGATTATTACAGGGAGGTAAGTAAAACTAAGTGGTTTCTTTAAAAATCTTTCCCAAACTTGTAACTTATCAAAGAGCTTTCACATATATCAATTCATTTGACTCTAAAAAATAAATCTGTGCTGTAGTTATTACAGCCACAATTTTGAACCTGTGACCAATCAATAATAACATCACTTCCCCTAGTTACAATAAGTTACCAACAGGTTAAAAAAAAAAAAAAAGTGACTACCTTCAAGTCTTCTATCAATTTGGTATGCTTTCTACCAAGTAATACAATATGAACTCTCAAAAACATATAATTAACATTTGCAAATAGTTCTGAACATTTTTTCTGTATCAGATTTTTCAAAAGTCCAAAAAGTAAAATGTTTTTAAATAAATTAAAAATATAACTAAGGCATCACAAATGAAATAACAGAAGACTAAAAGTAGGTTAACATAAAGCTAAAAGTCTCCCAACAACTCTCTTTCTTGTGAACAAGGACAAAATTTATAGGTTAATAGTTTCCTGTAAGTTAATTTCTAAGTTAAAAGCCAGAATACAATTCAATAATACAACTTTCTCTAAACTCTTTGTAATTAATACTATGTAGAATGTATTTGCTCCCCACAATTTTTTAATATTCTTTATATATGATAGCCAAAGTGAATTAGTAAAGGACATCTGAAGTTCAAACACAACAGACTGTTGCAACTTTGAAAAACAAATGATGGTCAAGGGTAACCACAATATAGTTCTGTGGCATTTTCTGATTTCAAGAAGTAAGTGAAACTAATATGTACCATAATAAATACATAGGGCTATATCAAACTTTCAGAAGGATATGAGAGACAAGAAACATTCTGAAATGGAAAGGAAATTCAAGGCAATTTGCTCTGTACTTCAAATAATTCCAAGGCAGTCTGTCCCTATTTTCAGAGTTGTTATCCTGCTAAAAAACACATCATATAGAGAAAGTGAGCCACATAAACTATATACTTTGGGTATCTTTCCTCTCTTAAGAGCACTTTGTGGGATTTTCTTAAAGCTCTTTCTATAGATAACTTCACTGAGGTTCAGAATATGGCAAAATACCTGAATAGGCAAAATTCCTAACTTTCAAACAACGTATCAGTTCTTCCAAACTGCCAATTCTGAAAAATCAATTTTATTAACTTTAAAACATTTCTACAAAAACATGAAGCATTTTCCTGGCCGTTTCCCTACTCCTGTTTAGGGCATCTGAGTGCCATTTCAATCAACATGTCCATTATTAAAAATAAAAAAGCAACTTGCACTGTGTGATATACTTAATATTTTAATTTGAAACTAATAGAAAAATGCTTATTAGATTCCTGTTTCACCTAAATCACTGAACAAGCTATTGATAAATTATTCCCTCCATTTCTCATGTAAAGCGTAGGCTGCCTCTATGTGAAGGCACGTATAATACCATGGACAGGTTGGGGACTGCTACTAAAAGAATTTCAGGTGGCCAGGCACAGTGGCACACGCCTGTAATTCTAGCAGTTTGGGAGGCTGAAGCAGGCAGATCACTTGAGCCCAGGAGTTCACAACCAGCCTGGGCAACATGGCAAAACCCATCTCCACAAAAAATACAAAAATTAGCTGGGAGTGGTGGCAGGCACCTGTAGTCCCAGCTACTCAGGAGGCTGAGGTGGGAGGATCACCTGAGCCCAGGAAGTCTAGGCTATGCTGAGTGGTGACCGTGCCTGGGTGCTACAGTGAGAACCTGTCTCAAAAAAAAAAAAAAAAAAAAAGAAAAGAAAAGAAAAAGAATTTGGTTGCACAGTTGGCCATATTTTTGTAATATGCATGTAAAATCATTTTAAAATCTGTCTTGGGAGCCTCATCATAAATTTTTAAAAATCCATACATACATATAAAATGCAATTGATATATGGTCCATTAAATACCAAGAATCAGCTTGACAGAATTTACCCCCAGATTAAACTGAGCTACCCAATAGGTATGGAATCCTCTAACAAGGTTCATCACAATGGTGTATTAGGAAGAGCACCAGAAAGACCAAGAAACTTGAGTCCCTGCCCCACCCAGAGTGATGCTGTATAAGGTCACTTTAATTATCTGTGCCTCAGTTTCCGGAGCCATAAAAATGAAAGTATAGCATTAGATGAACTCTGAATAGCTTTATAGCTCTTCCAGAGCTAATATTTATGATTCTGCAAGTTAAAATCTACGGAGTATCTACTTCATATATAGATGGCATCATAAGTGAAAGACATGATTATACATACATAGTTCATGTCCTCAAAAGTTTGATAATTGGAAGATAAAACATTCAAACAGCATTTCAACTAAGACAAAATTTGGGCTAAGCTCCATTATTGGAAAAATACTGTCCTCCTTCCCCTCCCATCCCCTAGTCCCCCAAATACAGTCAGAAGCTTTCTAATATAGATTCCAATATACATGTAAAATCCTCCTAAAATCTGTCTTGGGAATCTCCCTAATTATAAATTTTTTTAAATCCATCCATATATATATAGGAATTATCTAATATAGGGAAGAAAAATTATCATTTGCAATTCTAGTGTTTTCTTCTAGTAAATCTTTTTACTTTCCTCTCATAATATTTAGAAATGAGAAATACCTGTAGTTGGTGATAGAGTACTGAAAAGAAACAGAACTAAAAAACACATCAACAAGTCAAGAAGCATATATTAATTTTATCTACCCATTAGTATTCAAAGATTACTTGGCAGAGAAAATGAGTTTACATCTAATTTGATTAAAGACTATGATGCTATAATAAAATCTGTAAACATTTGAGTTATTTAATTTGGCATTTTAAACAAATGAAAGGTGATGTTAATGGGCCAGTCAATACACTTTTATTAACTTGATGCTATGGAAATTATTGTACCAAATTTTGCAAATTTAGAATTATCACTGTTAACTGTAATAATAGGTACAAACAAGAAAAACACTAGAAGTGTTGCAGAATTAGGAAAGTTTAAATAAAAGGTATTTTTAGAATGCCACAATAAGTTTTTCTTATGTGAAAATCACTTTCAAAAGTGTAGCAGGGGTTGTTTGAAAGATTAAATGAATACAGGTAAAGCACATAGAACAGTGCCTGGCACATGGCAACTGCTTACCAGGCATTGGTTAGCATTAACTCTAAACTGAATCTAATCCTATCCCATGTAAAAGATCAGGACAAAGTATTTGTTGTCGGAAGATTCAGGACTATCTTTCCAAAAGAAGGTATGCTGTGTGACCAGGATTTAAAATACTGATGCACATGCTGAAACCTGGAGTAACACAAATCTTCTAACAAAAATTAATTGTATTATTAATGCATATTAACTTAAAAATAAAAATGCCAGTCAGATCACAAGACTGATTTGCTCAAAATGAAAATGGTTTTTCAGTTCTTGCATTTTGTTGCTCAAATCTAAGATAGTTTTAAATTTTTCTTTTTAACACTTCAAAACTTAATCACACTATAAAGACAAGCTCCTATCAAATCATGCTAAGCATCCAACTAACAAGTTGTTAACAGTGATTGCCTTACCTTCCCAAGGACAAATTCTTGAACTAAAAGATATAATAACAAAAGAAAACATAGCTATCTTTTCACGAAAATACACAAAGTTTAAGTAAAGGCTAAACTTCTACAAAATCAATTTGTAAAACAGGTTCCTCATTTTAAAGAAACCCAGATAGCTGGAAATTTCCACTGAATTTTTATGAGAAAATTTCTGATGTTTACATCAAAAGCTACAGCTTAAAAAATAAGTCCTTACTTTCCACAAGTCTCTATGCTAAGTCCATTTGTTCCCTAGTAAGTTTAATCAACACGTTTATTTAGATTTGCAGTGATTCTGAAAACAGATTCCTTCTGACAGTGATTTTCTGAATGAAATGTAAATATTAAAAGTTTTTAATTAAACCAGCACACAGTTCACACTCCAGTATTTGTTAAATATAATCTTATTTAAAATATTTTACAGCTATGAAATTAATTTTTAAAAAGTCCAAAGCAAAACCTTAAAGTACTCTGACATATACAATTTAGAGTCGATGTCAAGATTATTAAGCCAAAAATTAATTTTAAATTGGAAAACAATTCACTCCAGTAATAATTATGGAAAGAAAACCAAATGAATACAAATAATAATTTCACAATTTTTGCAGGATTACTTTGGACTATTTTTAAAACGCTGTAAGAAAACATGCTGCAAAACCACAATGCAAATACACAACTGAAAACTAAAACCCTACATTCATCTAAATTTCAACAGTCTCATTCATGTAATATTTGTCCTCCCTCACTTTAAAACTGGAACCTCAAGCCAATCAAAGATATTGGGGTCAACCCTAGTAAGGAAAACAAAAAGATCTTCAAGTACCATCTCCCTGTAAACTTTCAAGTACTATCTCCTTGGTAAACTTTCCAAGTCAAGATAATGTACTGGCAAAAGGAAAACAATTACAGTCCGGATATATATCTTGCATATAATTGTGCATTAAGTCATAAACCTTGGAAAACTAGTAACTTAGTAATAAGTTGCTATTTTAATTATAAAATATTTTCATGTTTTAGACAACCACCCCCGGAATGTTTGTATTCGTTTATACATATTTTGCAAGTGATACTCAAGTTCTGAAGACTAATCTTCATTTCCTACACCATCTTTATTAGACTCTTCCACCTTCGTTTTCCTAAGTAAATACATAACCTAAACCAATGAGTTTCACTCATTTGTCAGCTTCAACCACTGACAAAACCCAGTGGTTGCCTAGTGATGTATAGTTCTACTAAAAGATATATATGACCATGCTTTACCAAATACGGAACACATGTCTAAACTGTTGAGACAACTGCCAATGTATTAACTACAAAAAGCCATTATTTTTTACTTTAGCCTCAACTAAAATCAAAGTGTGAACACTTTATTATGGCTAGAAATTACCCAATATAGATGCATAGGTTTCACTGTTGACTTTCTATTTGGAAACTTCATCAATTGCAAACTACCAGGCTTTCAACCAAAATGCCACATTGGTGAAATGAGTTGGTTTTATTTTCATAACAACATTATTTTGATGGAAGAAATGTGAGCATCCCAGCTTTGACTTGTGGGTAAGCATTTCCTCTGCTTTCAGAACATAAACAGTAAATACCGGTATTGGAAAAACCTGGCCCCAACGAGATTCTTTATCTCTAGGCTAACTGTAGATTCCCGGGAAATCCCAAACAAGGGATGGTGACCCCGCCTCGGCGTCAGGGTCAACACAGCAACCAGCTAGGCTTCAACTTTGGGCTCTGAAGGGCCCCACCGGCATCATGGCTGATGCGGACCGATGCGCCGGAGGAGGTGGACAAGGAAGAGGCTGGTCTGTTTACTTGCAGCCAGAGCTGCCGCCGCCGCCAGCAGCGACAGCATCACTGGATCAGCCAAACCCAGCATCTTCCGCACATTTCTATTCTTAGCACACAACTCCCAAGCGGATCAAAACCCCACTACTATTAAAAACACAGACAAGCACGTTACCCACCTCCCACACACACACCCCCCCCCACCCCACCAGTGCCGTCTTTTCCTGCGCGCCAGTGGCGGGGAAGGGTGGGGGAAGGAAGGAGACCCCGGGGACGCCTGTGCATCCTCGCCTTCACCCCACCCCACGCGCAGACAGCCTCAGCGCCAGGGCGCGCGGCAGACGGCTCCCTCCCCCCAACCCAAACACACTGACACCGGCGCTCCACGCGTTATATAACCTCGCCGCCGCCCCCGGTCCAGGCGGGCGCCCCCTCCCCACGCCGCGCGGCCCGGGCGGGGAGGGGCGAGGGGAAGGAGCGAGAGTTGCGCAGACAGCAGGCGCCGGGCCGGGGCAGCCCAGACACAGACGGTACCGCTAGGCCGGGAACACCCCTCCCCCGGCCCGCTGCGCACCGCCGCCCCCCAGCTTTCCCCGGAAAGCGGGGGGTGTCGGTGTCAACCGCGCTGGGCATCCCCCGGCCTCCACACCCACACCCGAAGCCTCCGGTGACCCAGCCCCCGCCCACGCCCCCGGCGCGGTGACAACCCAGAAGCCCCCGCCTCACCCCACCCCGCCGCCATCCCCCGCCTGAGGGAGGCAGGGAGGGCGGACCGGGGCCCGGGGCCCGGAGGGAGTGGAGGCCAGGCGGGGAGGGGGCTAGAGTTGGGGGCGGTGGCTGTTACCTGCAACGGCGGCGGCGGCGGTGGCGGCCCCGCAGCTGCTCGGGCGGCGGCGGAGGATGGAGCCGGGGGGGGGCGGGGGGAGGAGAGGGGGCGACTCGGGGGTCCCCCCTCCCTCCTCCTCCCCTCCTGTCCTCCCCCCACCCCACAGAGCCTCTGGCCTCCTGGAGCCCGGTGCGGCCGGCGGGAGGGCAAGCGAAGGGCTGCAGGGGAGGGAGGGAGGGAGCCGGCCGGGCCGGGCCGCGGAGCTGGAGCGGGAGGCGGCGGCGGCGGCGGCGGCGGCGGCGGGAGGGGGAGGGAGGAGAGAGGGCGGCGGCGGGGAGAGGAGGAGGCGGAGACTCTACATGGGAATCGGATATCGGCTACAAATTCATCACCAGAAAACACCGCTCGGGCGGGGGCCGGGTCACGCCGGCGGGGCGGCGGCTCTGGGCCCCGGGGCGCGCCCGGCGCGGGGAGGGGTTCTGCGGCCTCCTCCCGGGCTGCGCCTCGCTGAGGGGACCCCCCGCCGCCTCCCCGCCCCCTCCTTCCTCCCGCTCGGGGCCGCCGCCGATCGGTTCTCGCCGTCGCCGCGGGGCTTGTTGTTGACTTTGAGGAAAACTCCTGACGTCAGGGGCTGGCTCTCGGCGACTGGCGGGAGCGGCTTCCCCGCGTCCCCGGCCCTGCCCGCCGCCTCTGCTCCCCTCCCTGCCCGGCCCTCGTCCTCAGGCTTCCCCGCGCCCCCAAACCAGCGGTGCCCCGCGCCCCCTCTCCTCTCGCGAGAACATCCCCCTAGCCAGCCAGAGCCGGGAGCGGGGGCAGTCGCTCCCGGGCGGGAAGTTCTGGGTTTCCCCCTCGCCCGCGTGGCCCTTGGCGGGCACCCGAGGCCCGGGAGCGGAGGCTCCTCGCCCAGCCGCTTCCTCGGCGCATCCGCCCACCCGCCCTGGCCGCGGACGCGCGCGCCGCCAGGCCCCGGGCGTCTCCTCCAGTCCGCCGCGGCCCCTTGGGGAGATGGGCCCGGCGCGAGGGCTCGCACCTGGAAGCCCACGAAGTGGGCGGTGCCCAATGAGGTAGGGACCGGAGAGCGCGGAGCAGTCCAGAAGCCGACCCCACCCCCTGCACCTCGGGGAAGAGGGAACCCGGGTCAGCCCGTAGCAAGAATCATTCCTGACTATCCCAGGAGACCACGGCAGACCAAAAACACCTCTCTGAACAGCCTTCCGCACCGCTCGCTGCAAGCATTCGTCCACACACGGTACACAGATTGCGGGCGGATCGTAATTCACTCTTGAAATCACACCCTTTTTAGGGATATTCGTTTTCAATGACTTTGGGAAAGCCACGAGGTACTACATTTACTACGAAGAGACCGTTTCTTTATTTTGAAGTCAGTGACTCCTGAGACTGCATTGGGGACAACTTTTTTGCACAATGACCATATTTTACCATGCAGCGCACTTCAGAAAATTATAAAAGTTTACAAGTTTTATCGCTTCTGGAAACACCTGGGCAGCATCCCTATTATCCCGCCACGTGGCTCTAGCCTTGTTGATGTACCTGTTACTTTCTCCCACTGCAACATTTTTGTTAATGTCTGTGGCTTCTTTCTGCAGAAGAGTTCCTCCTCCTGACATGCACTTCATTCTCTGCTTTTCTATGTCTTGACAACTCTCTTATGGTAGTCATTTTCTTATACTGTAGCCCCCTGGTATTTATGTACTGTGTGGTATTAATATTTATACTTCCAGGTTCACATCTTTTATGAACTGTGCATCTGTTGGGATTGTGGACAGGAGTAGGAAACCAAATAAAAGGGTTTTTTAAAAAAGTCAGTTTTCTCCGTTTGTAAGGGAAACTTGTTTCCCTGACCACCCTGGAGCAAAATTTGCCATTTTAAGATAACACAGTCCGAGAGAAAGTCCTGCACCATGCCTTTCCCCTTTTCCCATATTTCCCAGCATGCTATGAGCTGATGAATAAACAGACTTTGTCCTATTTTCGTTGTATCTATAAAATATACATAATGTATTCCCATAATTATCAGACCTCTCACAGTCACTATTGGTAAAATTATTGGGTTACAGGTTTCTTGCTGTAAAACACAAAAATAGGTCATATTTTTATTCCATAGTACCCCAACTTGCTTTTTATTTTTAAGAAAATAGTCCCTTATGACACCAGCACTAAAAAGAGTGTCTGAAACTTTAAATACTTAACTTTTGAGAGTCAGAGTATCCGGAATTACTGAATTACTAGATATCTCTTATCAGTGAGATGTTCATTTGTTCCCAAATTTAACATCAATATATTTACAAGAACTGAATGTGTCTTATGAGCCATACTACCTCAAAATATTTCTCCCAGTCTGGTCAGATTGCATTAAATCTTAGGTGGATTAAACCCTAAAATTCAGTATGTGAGAATGGATTATATACTCTCGGCTTCATGTATTTGAAGAATTATAAGTTTTTATTTCTGTTCAATTTTTGCTTGTGGACTATAGTAGTTTCATAAGTTTCCATAATAAAAGCATGTTTGATTTTGTTATTGAATTACTATTGATTAGGGATATTATTTATTTAAATAACGTTGTTCTTTCTCTTAGACTATGCCGGTATGAATTTGGTAGAATCTGCCGATTGTGGTATGTCGGTACTCCATACAGAGTGTGTGGTAGATTTCTTCTCTATTTTGTTATCACATCCAGTAATATGGAGTGCAGCCAGCATGTTCATCCCTGGGAATGTCCCTCCTAAATTTTGCAAAGAAAGCCTTCATTCTTTATTACACCAAATATTCTTAAGATTAACATTTCTCAGTATTAGTTATTTATTCATTTTAAGAAAAATGTTCATTCTTCTTTACTACCAATGACTAAGTTTGATACTGAGCTATTTCTTGGTACTTCCCCCATTTCTTGGGAGTAACTAAAACTGGAAGGATATTTAGAATTTCAGAGCATCTAATGTCTTAGTCCATTCAGGCTGCTATAACAAAATACCATCAACTAGGTAGCTTATAAAGAACAGAAATTTATTTCTCACAGTTCTGGAGGCTGGGAAGTCCAAGATCATGGCACCAGCAGATTTGGTGTCTAAAGAGGGTTCCGTTTCCTGGTTTGTAGGTGGTGACTTCTTGCTGTGTCTTCACATTTTAGAAAGAGTGAGGGAACTCTCTTGGACCTCTTTTTCTTTTTCTTTGTTGTTTTTTTTTTTTTTTTTTTTTTTTTTAGAGACAGTGTCTCATTCTGTCACCCAGACTGGAGTGCAGTGGCATGATCATAGCTCACTGTAGCCTGGAACTCCTAGGCTCAGGCAACCCTCCTGCCTCAGCCTCCTGAGTAGCTGAGACTACCAGCATGAGTTAATGTTCCCAGCCATCTTGAGCCTCTTTTATAAGGGCACTAATCCCATTCTTGAGGGCTCAAACCCTCATGACTTAATCACCTCCCAAAGGCCCCATCTACTAACACACTTTGGAAGTTAGGATTTCAATCTATGAATTTGGGGAAACACAAAAATTCAGACCAGGGCATCACATAACAAAAATTAAGTTACTGCTCTTCTGTCTTAATAGAAAGGGTGTGTCATCCTAGGAGAGGGCATGGAACAAAGCAGACACAGAATACCTGTTTGTGGAAGAAATACATGTTCTAATGTTCTAATGACGGCTCTAATAAATCTGTGTACTATGTACAGTTTATATAGTATTTTCCTCTTGGGATGTAACGTGATTTATTGGAAAGAACATAAAAGTGCTTTGGAGACTTGCAGACCAGAGTTCAAATCCTCTCTCTGCAGAGTTTGTCTCATCTCAGGCAAGTTACTTAATTTTTCTAAGCCTTATATTTCCTTATTTGTGAAATGGCAGTTACAACTACTTCAACAACTTATGTGAATTAAATTTTATGAAATATTAGTATCTAAAACACAGTGAGTGGTCAGCAAGCTAAGATTCCTTTACCATAAATGTGAATATATTTATGTTAAACTAACAATAGCTGCTACAAACAAATACAAAAATCTATATTGGCATTCTCTGCCACAGTTGGTTCTGAAATAACCACGTTAAGTCTACAGCTGTAATTAGTGAATATATTCTAGATGATTAATAGAACAATTTCTAAAGGAGTATAGCTTAAATTTCTGTTGGTTAAGCCTCCCAATCTGTGATATTTTTCTTACAGCATCCCAAACTGACTAAGGCACACAGTTCATTACAATAGTTATCAGTACTAATTGTCTTTTTCTCCCTTTCCCTGATGTCTGTCTGTCTGTCTGTCTGTTTTTCTGTTTTTTTTTTTTTTTTTAGACAGAGTCTGGCTCTGTCACCAGGCTGGAGTGCAGTGGCATGATCTCGGCTCACTGCAACTCCACCTCTCGGGTTCAAGTGATTCTCCTGCTTCAGCCTCCCGAGTAGCTGGGATTACAGGCGCCTGCCACCACGCCCAGCTAATTTTTGTATTTTTAGTAGAGATGGGGTTTCCCCATGTTGGCCAGGATGGTCTCGATCTCCTGACCTCGTGATCCGCCCACCTCAGCCTCCCAAAGTCCTGATGTCTTTCTTAAGGCACAGGCCAGGTGCCTGTACAAGAACATATGAGCATAGCCAAGGGCCAGATATATCACTAATCTGGTGCTGTGTGAATCTGGGTTACTTAAAGCCCTGTGGAAACCTCCCTCTTATTTTGTTCTCAGGTTTTATTTTTTTGCTATGTTATTAGAGTATGAATGAATTTTTTTTGTTCATATTCTCATTGTCAGACGGCTAAATCTGTTAGCAACTTAAGCAATCTCTGGACATTACATTTAATATTTCAGGACACTTGGGTCACAAAAAGTTACTGACCACTAATAAATAACTGCTTGTGGAGCATCGAGCTAGAATTCATGTTCTAATTCCAAAGCAACAAGCATACACAATTATTATTCCTGGCTGTGCAGGAGAATCGTGGTATGTGATAAATTAATACATATTATAATCCTACAGCCTCATTTTAGTATGTAATGTTAACTTCCTGAGGTGGTGTGCATTTCTAGTTGTTTCTGAATCAGCTCTGTGGGGATTGGACTTTCCCATGCAACAGCTAGCAGTGAAATAACAACAGTAAATTTCCAACCTTCACCTGGATAATTACCTCAACTTCTTCCTCGGTTATCTCATGTAAATACTGTCCTGTTCCAGAAAGTTTCCCCATCCATTTTAAAACACAGTTTCTTCTGCCAATCAAAACACTTTCACAATTAACTGAAAAGTTTCAAATCTACATCTCACTATTTTAACCCTCTATGAAGTCCTTCAATTGTTGATTCTGTGCTATTTTGTTAAATAATACTGGCTTTTTATAGTAGGAGAAAATCAGTCTCAGAATTTTTCTGTTGACTAGACAGAACTATGACCATTTTAAATTGCAAACACTATCTCGATTCAGTAATTGGATTTGAATCAAAGCTCTGAATTTGATTTAGAATTCAAACTTTGTAGTGGGGAAAGCAGGCAGGCTCAGCTTCTCTATTTCTCTATCTTATTTTCCTCTTCCACTCCACAAGTCAGTCTCTGGGTGAAGGACAAAACAGTTCTTACCCAGCTGGTACCGCTGTCAGCCAGCTTTGCACTCTCTCAGCCTAGCACACAGAACCAGCTACATGATTTGCAAGGCCCAGTGCATAATGAAAATGCTGGGCCCCTTGCTGGAGAAGAGTTAAGAATTTAAAACTTTTTGAGAGCAGAGCGTTAAGCCAAGTACACAAGCCTGTATTCCGTACAGGTAGCATGCCCATGAGGCTGCCGGCATGTGCTTCATGCTAGCTGTCCAGGGGCTTTTCGGAGAGTTGCTTCTGGGCTACCCTAACTGCAATCTCTGCGATGTGGGTAATGCACCCTTACCTTCAGCTGGCGCTCCTGATGGCCCCTCAGCTTTAGTTTCTTCAGTCCTATTGGAGTCTTCTCACCCCTCTGGGAGAAAGTCTCATAGGCGCAACTCCAGATGGCTCCAGGCAAGTTCTCTCCCTCCCATAGGACTCTGGGCTACAGAAAACATTGAAACATTCTTTGCCCAGCAGGCCATTCTCTTCCAAGCAGTTGGGCAGCCTGTTTCCCAGTTTTCTGAATGGGAGTCAGATCCCAGTCCACAAAATGCCCCTGCCCTGCATCCAACCCCCATTGCAGGAAACACATTCCAAGCTCTCCACACAATCAATGGAAACCCGTGGAAGTCCCCGGCATGAGCCGAAGAAACATCCTCCATTTTCTCTGCACAGGAGGTGATGAGTGCAAGTCTCCCTTCCACAAACCTATCTTGAATTTTCTCCACTATTGTATATGTTTTAAGTGGATGAGAGTATTTGAGTCATAGATTTGGTTTTGAATTCTTTCCTTCATAATAGTGACCAAGCTTGAAATTTCATACTTTTGTATCTTGAGATCTCAGTTGAAACTTCAATTTAAAATTCCTATTAAAAAGCATATTCTCTTGCCTCATTCAAAATGCAGTGGCTCATGCCTGTAATCCCAGCATTTTGGGAGGCCAAGGCAGGAGAATCACTTGAGCTCAGGAGTTCAAGACTAGCCTGGGCAACATAGCAAAACCTTATCTCTACTAAAGTTATTTTTTTTAATTATCCAGGCATGGTGGTTCACGCCTGTAGTCCCAGCTATTGGTGGTTGAAGGGGTTAAGGTGAGAGGATAACTTGAGCCCGGGTGGTTGAGGCTGCAGTGAGCTATGATTGCACCACTGCACTGCAGCCTGGGTGACAGAGCACGTCTCTATCTCAAAAAAAGACAAAAAAATCTTCTCTATGCTGTAACTATTTTCTCTGTTGCTTATTTAGATGTGTGCTCACATGTATTAAAAAATTATCAGCTATTACTGAATAAGATATTTAACAGGTGTTCAAGGCACAAAATTAATTAAAATAGTGTCTTCTCTACATATTTGTATTTCTGTTTGATAAATATGTTCCAACAAATTGCCTTTTTCATACATTATTACCTACGTTACTATTAAATATTTTTAGAGACTCTTGCCCTTAGCTAATTTCTCAAATTTTTTATTAAGCAATTTAAAGTTGAACCCTTTGAAATTTTATCTCAGAAGATGCTATGATATAGATGCCACAAAATCAAGTATAAAAAAGGATAAATGTACAATTTGTATGAGAGTCGGTCACTTGCACAAAGGTCATGCTGAGCTATGAAAACCTCTAGATGCAGGCATGAATCATAAATGATGGATTTTTGCATACTTTTTTTTTGAGATGGAGTCTTGCTCTGTTGCCTAGGCTGGAGTGGAGTGGCACATTCTTGGCTCACTGCACCCTCCGCCTCCCAGGTTCAAGTGATTCTCCTGCCTCAGCCTCCCGAGTAGCTGGGACTACAGGTGTGTGCCACCATGCCTGGCTAATTTTTTTTGTACTTTTAGTAGAGGGAGGTTTTGCCATGTTGGCCAGGCTGGTCTCGAACTCCTGACCTCAGGTGATCCGCCCGCCTTGGCCTCCCAAAGTGCTGGGATTACAGGCATGAGCCATCACACCTGGCCAGATTTTTAAAAATAATGTAAGACTGCCTTGATTTCCCTTTAATGTCTATGATTACCAAAGAGAGGGTTTGCCTTCCTTTGTTCTTTATCAAGGTATTAAAAATTGAGAAAATATTGGACTTTGGGGCGTAGTTTAAACTCCTTAACTTTTTCTTGCTTCATTCAAAGTGCTATTGGGATCTTTGAGTATACAATGTTCAGAGAATAACAATTTGATAAATACGCATGTCATGTTTGCCTACCTTGTCTCTTTCTACCCCTCATCTTCTGAAAAGTTACTTCCTTATAGCTGTCTTCTTCTTCCAAATATCTGAGAAAGTCTTTGAGTTATGTGACATCTAGAAATCGTATTTATGAGCAGAAGCTTCTTCAAATAATCCATAAGGGAAAACTTATGAAGAGTGAGGAAAAAGACTCCAATTTTCATTACTCTTCATGCACTCTCTCCTTAATGGTGGTTATGATAACCCTGTTTTTCTTAAATCTCCACTCAGGGTATCATAAAACTTATTTGCATATTTACCTAGTCCCATTGTCTTCCCTGATAAAATGCTTTAAGCCTTAGATCATACAGTTTGTATTTTGGCATTCACTTCAACTTAATTCCATAAACATTTCTTGACTCTCTCTATAGATAAAGGTCTAGAGATCGATTTAAGTTCAACACAGAGTCTCCTTCCAAGAAGCTCCAGCTACCAGGGAGACCAACATGAATAAGTGACTATAAAACAAATAAGTGCTATGAGAGAAATATGTATAAAAGGGTATGAGAACACACCATTGGGAGCAATTAATAGTGAAATGAGAGGGAGTAAGTCAGGTCAACCTAAAGACAGGTTATTGATATTTTAGCTGAGCATTAAAATGAGGTCCAAAGTTGATCAGGCAGAGGGAGGAGGACATTCCTGCAGTGAAAAGAGCACCCCAAAAAACACAAGAGAATAACACTGGGGACTCCAAGAAAATAAAATAGGTGGGGGAAGGTCTCAGTGACATAAGTGATACGATAATTCAAGTCCAGTTTGAGCTGTCTATATGAATGCAGGAGCAGTGGAGAGGGAGAAGGAAGACTCTTAAATAACTTATGATATAGAATCAACAGGAATGAGTGATCAGTTGGCGGGCAGAGGGGTAGTAAATAGAAGAAGGAGTGAAGGATGATGCCCAGAATTCTCCCCTCCCTGGCACTGGGAGGAGGAATGGACTGTGTGTGTATGGACAAACATGCACACACTATGGTTATTGTTGCTAATTTTGGAGAATAAGGTTGGCAAGAGGCCGGGTTATGAAGAGAAAAGAAGATGAGTCGTTTTGGACATGTTAAAATGCAAATGCACCTGTGAGACTTCCAGGTAGATAGAGCAATCCACACTATAGCTAACACGGTTGAGTTCTTACTTTGTGCAAAGTGCTCCACTGAGCGCTCTACTGATTTAATATCAGAAGCACTTTTGAATATGGAAATGGAGGGATCTGACTAAAAGACTTGGTCTGGATGTAGGCTTGCATCAGAGCGTGGGGTAAGTGGCTCCGAATAGCAATGTGATATAAGAACCAAACCTTAGGAAGCACTAACACTGGAGGGCAAAAGGAGATGGAGGAAAAAAAGTCAAATAGGTGGGAAGAGAAAACGAGTTATGAAAGCCAAGGTGGGACAGAATGTCAAGAAAAGGCAGCGTTTGGCAGTGGGAATGTTGCACAGAGGTGAAATAAAAGATCAAGTCTGATAATTGCCTACAGAATTTTACAATTGGGAAGTCATTGCTTACCTTGGTTGAAGTAATTTCATGGTGTAATGGGATTGAAAGCTTCGTTGAACTGCCTTTAAATTGAGGAAGAGGGAAACAAGGAGAGATGAGGGGAGAAACTGATATTTATTGAAACCTGCTGGGAGCCAAGTTCTGTGCCGGCACTTTGCTTACATCTAGCTGCACGTTACAGTAGTCCGGGATATTAACTGTTGTTCCCTAGTTTCTGACTCCCCATGGTCCTTACTGGCTGTCGAGTGAACTAGAAGATCCTTGCCTCAGGAAGCAGATGACAGAGCAGAGAAATGACGAAAGGACCTTTCCTGGCTTTGTAGTTTCAGAAGCCTAGCCCTCAGTGGGAAATAGAAATGACTCTGGGGCTTAAAACAGTAGATGAGGGAGAAGATGTGATGCTGTAAGAACAAGGTTTCATGCACATCACCACCACCACCACCACTAGAAAGAATGTCAGTCTAGCAGGAGGAAGAGAGGTTGGTTCTATTACCTGCCCCATGGGGACAGCACAAGAAAGAGGATGAGTGAACAACCTGACAGGCTTCAGGATTCCCAAAGAAGAGGGAAGTTGTGCTTCCTTTCCTTAAGGGAGCCTAGATGGAAGGAAGGACCAGATGTAGATATGTCCTGATGGTGAATGAAGGCAGGCCCCTCGGGGCATCCTGGGGCCCAGTGTAACCTGGGCAGCAACACAGTAATCCCAGTGTGATCAGGATTTCTGAGTTTGCACAGGATTTAGGACGATTTCTGCGATTCCATGCCCTACAATGGTGCAGGATCAGCATCATGGTTCCAGCACACCAGCAAATGGAAATGAGGGGAGAGAGGAACAGATCAGAAGTAACTTTGAGGACAAACAATCAAGGGGCAATCAAGATGACCAATATCTCAGAGGACAACAGTATGAACAGACAACCAAGACAAGTAGCCCTTCTCTGTCCAGACAAATTGCTCCCATGCAAGTCACTCTCCCCACTGCCTTCCCTCCAGAGCATCATCACAATCCCAGGCAGATAGGAACTTTCCAACCACGCAGCAAAATGGAGGCCCAAAATAGAAATGGAGTTGAGTTCTAGAAATAATGTTACATTTCCTACACACCTGAATTTGGGAAATGAATGATAGCCAGAAAGGGATCCAAGGTGATGAAACTTCTTTTTTTAAAAAAAATTAAGAATGAAGAGCCGGGCATGGTGTTGCAGCTACTCGGGAGGCTGAGGTGAGAGGATCCTTTGAGACCATAAGTTTGAGGCCAGCCTGGGCAATACAGTGAGACCCCATCTCTTTAAAAATTTTTTAAACAATTTTTAAAAAAGAATGAGAGAAACTAGATAATATAAATGGGGGAAAAGAAAGAACTAGTTGAGAGGGAGAGCTTGAAAATGAAGGAAAAATAGGTCACATACTAAGGAATGATTCTGAAGGATATGGGAGGAAAATCAACAGAAAGGGATACACCTTGAAGGGAGGGTGTACACCTCTGGAACACGAGTGAATGTGAAAAGGATGTGCGTAGATAGAGTTCTGTAGAGGGCTGGGAGAAATGTGACAGGTTTCATGCTTCATGGCATGGAGGAGGAAGGGCCACGTGGTAATGCTTGTTGGATGCCTGTTGGAAATAATGTAGGATGAAGACAGAACCATAACACAGTTTACTTCCTTGAGCGTTAGGTGGTATATGTATTGCATTCGACTTCCTTCATTGAAGTTGTGGATGCTGCAGTCACTGCCGGGATCCGCAGCCCCCTCCTTTCAGGATGGAAGCAGCCACTTCACCAGCTGCTGGAACTGTTGGCCACTGACACTTAAGCCCCTTTTCTAGGAATTGCCATCTACTGAGAGAGCCACTCTACCGCAAATTACACCCCCTTCTCAGTGACCATACGGTCTGAAGGTGGAAAGTCCAGCCCCCTTGCCTCAGTTCAGGAGGAGTCCGCTGGCCTATAAAGATGGGCACACTGGGCGTGTCTCTCCCATCCCCACAGCCCCTACCAGGAGATCAGCTGGGGTCTTTGTTGTGACTGCACAGCACTTTCCCCCTGCCCAATCCTGCCTCCTTCACCCCGGACAGTCATTGATTGTGAGAGCACACCCCACAAACTTCCTGCAGTGCTGTCTCCATCCCAGAGTCTGTCTCACTGGGAATCCAACTTGAGAAAACACATCAACCTTATGACAGCACAGGTCCCTCGGAATCACCGTCAGTACTGTAGGAAGGAACTCCAGCATGCCTTGGGAAAATCCAAGTTTAAAGAACGAATAGCTGTGTGGTGGGACAACCTCCTTTCTTTCTGCCCTCTTGTTTCCATGTGGATGAAAGTTACATTCCTAGCCTGTGTCATCCCTGACTCCCGCCTCACCAGAGACTTATCTGATGGAGGAGTCCGGGGGAAAGTACTGGGCACTTAGCCCATTCTGGGGTCCCCTGTTTGGAAGACGGGTTGGCCCAAATGCTCCCTCATACCAAAAGAGGCCTGTCCTGTGGGTGTGGCATGTACTGTTCTGGTTCTAGGGGAAAGTGTTTGCAAGCCCATTTGTCTGTGGGCCTAATACACATCCTCCAATCCAGCTTTTACTAATGTCAAGCTGCTATTTTCTTTGCCAGTGTCCATTCTTTTTTGTATTGTATTTCTCAATTGGGATCCAGATTTACAAGGGGGAGAAAGGGTTAGCTATTTAATTCTCCGAAACCTTTACTATATAGTACTTTTGGAAGGGAGGGAAAACTGTTTAGTGTTTGGGTGTCTCTTTAGGATAAGAAATAGCAAGTCAAGAGTGACAAGGAATGCAAAAAGAAACATCACACGGACAGAAGATAAAGAAAAATACAGTCGTTCCAACATTTAGAAAATATCTCTGAACTCTAGTCCTGTATGCAGGTAATTCCTGCCTGAGAAGGAGTGGATCACAAATCTACCCAGACCCCCAGCCATTGGATTTAAATCATTGTTCCTTTATTCTCCAAATGTTTGGCTTTGTTCGAAAGATTCATAAAAAAAACCAAGCGTATTGGCTCTGTTACACAGAAAAACTGCATCAGCTTTTTGCTAAAATCAGTTTTATCATGAAGTTAATTACATTTTATTACCAAAAGATAAGTATGCTAAATGAATCCATATATCACAACATCTCTTATAGGTTTGTAGAAGTGATGGTAGGGATGGCACTATTTTTATTATGTCTATTTTTAAATTACCTTAATTTGACCTCATTTTACCCCAAATTACTCCTTGAGATGATTTTGCAGGCTGAGCTGAGTCCCAAGTTAAGGATGGCACTGAAATTTTTCTGTAGCAAGAAGTTAGGTATGATTTGGTTTGTTTTGAGAATAAACAAGATTAAGAAAAATTTACATTTTAGACCAGTCGAGTACTTTAGGTGTCATCTTTTACAGATTTCACATTTAATATAATTCTACTCCTGACATTAAATTTTATTACTCTACAAACTAGCCAGAAGTAATAAGGTTCTAAGAGCTATAAAACACGTATTTGGCTTTTCTCAGCTGTTTGAGGCAATGGTAGAATTTCTGAGGTACCCTTAAGTGTTAATGAAATGAATTCGTAAATCATTTGTTGCTTGTCAGTCATATTGCTTATCAATAATGCTATTATCAATTTCCTCTAAAGCATGTAGATTTCATACAAAAATGGAAGCTACGTAACTACAATTTTTCACCTTTTATAATAACATTGTGGGGTGCAGGAAGTGGAGGCACAGAGGGGCCTTCAACTTCTCCAACCTACTGTAACATTCTCTGGCATGTCTGGGATGAGGGATGTATGAGATAACAGGAGGGCTCTGCTCTCAGAGGTGATGATGGGTTTGTGCTGAGCTATCGACACTCATACCTGGGCCTCTTGTGATCAATGACACTCAATTTGGAGACGGCTGACTGGGGTTAATGGTGCAATCTGTGGCTTTGGAACAGAGTTCTTCTCTATGTGAAACTAATTGGCCCATATGGGGATTAAACTGGTAACAGTGTCCTCATTTGTCAACCCATCTATTCAGCTTTTGAATCTAGTCGTGTTTGAGGACCGCCCCAAATTCAATCAATGTGTTTTCAAATTGTAACATCATGACTTTAGAAAGAGGAAGAGGTAAATTTTTAAATATATCAACCCAAATCACTGTAAGAAAAACTTACAATGGTCTCCATTGTAAGTTAAATAACAATTATTCGATTGCCAATTATTCTTAAATGATTATCCCTGTGCCATGGGAAACAACAGGAAGCAAGTCTGTTTCCCATTAGATACCTTATTCCAGAATTACTTTTAAAATTTTCAAAACATGCCTTCAGACTCCCACCCCTGACTGCCCAATGACTGTTTCAAGGGTTGCCACCTGCAGCTACCCCCAACTCTTTTCCAAAACATCAGATTTTAAGATGGAACTCGGTTTTCCCTCACTTGATCTTCCTTTGTTTCTACATTCACCAGAAGCCTTTCTTAAATCCTGATGCCGGAGCGCTTTTTAAATCCATTTACCAATTACATGATTCATGTCCTGACTTTGAAATAAAAAAAACACACCACTATTTGCCACATCCTTCAATTCAGACTTAAAGGACATATCTCGACAATACAACATACTCAAATTCAAAAATTCTTTTTAGATCCATTTACATTTTCTCCCCATTTATTTCATAATTAACCTGATGCTTTTCTCCAATTCACCCGATACTTAATATCTAACTAATGCATGTAAAAACAAGCCCCAAATTGTGAGTTAAGTGTGCTGTGGTAGAGACTACAACATGGTGGAAATGAAATAGGAACCCTAGAAAGGCTGGATAATGATGCACCAGGTGACAACATTTATATCCAATAGAAAAGCATCTTCATTACCTAACTCTCCAGTTAGAAGCTATTTTTCCTTCCAAAAAGACTTTCAAAAGAAGTAATCTTTGAGCAGTCACAGAAACACGGAGCATTTCTCACAAATAATAATAAAGAACCAAACATGAGGAAGTGGCAGAGAAGCATAGACCAATAAAAAAGTGTGAGATACTAGAAGAGCATCAGCAGAACTTTGACAAAAAGAGAAGAGTTACACAGACTGGACTCCAAACAGAGATTATATTTCAGCCCTATTGGCTAAGAGTTTTCTTTTTTTTTAATTTTCAATTTTTTTTAGAGACAGCGTCTGGCTCTGTTGCCCAGGCTGGAGTGCCGTGGCATGATCATAGTTCACTGCAGCCTCAAACTCCTGAGCTCAGGTGATCCTCCCACCTCAGCCTCCTGAGTAGCTTGGACTACAGGTGTGCACCACCACCCTCAGCTAATTATGTTTAAGAGGACGCCCAGACATCTAGTGAGCATTCTTTCTGGATGTGTCTGTAAAGGGGTTTCTGGAAGAGATTAGCATGTCAATCAGTAGACTGAGTAAAGCACATACCCTCCCCGGGTGTGGCTGATCATAGTCCCTACCATAGAGGGCCTGAATAAAACAAGAAGTGGAGGAAGGGAGGAATCTCTCACTCTGCCTGATGAGCTGGAACTGCCCTTGGTGCTCCAGGTTCCCAGGCCTTCAGACTAGGACTAGAATCTACAGGGGTGTCCAATCTTCTGACTTCCCTGGGCCACACTGGAAGAAGAATTGTCTTGGGTCACACAGACATAAAATACGCTAACACTAATCATAGCTGATGAGCTAGAAAAAAAAAAGAAAAGAAAAAAATCTCATAATGCTTTAAGAAAGTTTACGAATTTGTGTTCAGATGCCTTCAAAGCCATCCTGGGCCGCATTCCACCCTCAGGCCGCGGGTTGGACAAGGTTGATCTACACCATTGGCTCTCTGTTCTCAGGTCTTCAAACTGTACCGCTGGCATTCCTCCGTCTTCAGCTTGCAGAAGGCAAATCATGGGGTATCTCAGCCTCCATAATCATGTGTTAGTAACTTAGAAAAGAATGCTTTTGTTAGAGTGTGCAACATATTGTGTTTGAATGAGAGAGAACTAATGAGTGAAATAATGTACCCACATGACTTTCTTTTTAGTTCTGTATTATTTTTTAAAAATTATGGGATGTAATATTTATGTAGAAAGTATATAAAATGTGTATGTAGATTGGCAATCATCTTTTTGTTGTTGTTGTTTTTTGTTTGTTTTTGTTTTTGAGATGGAGTCTCGCTCTTTCGCCAGGCTGGAGTGCAGTGGCGCGATCTCGGCTCACTGCAAGCTCCGCCCCCCCAGGTTCAAGTGATTCCCCTGGATTCCCCTGCCTCGGCCTCCCAAGTAACTGGGACTACAAGTGCGCACCAGCAAGCCCGGCTAGTTTTTTTGTTTTGTTTTGTTTTGTTTTTTCTGAGACAGAGTCTTGCTCTGTCTCCCAGGCTGGAGTGCAGTGGTGTGATCTCAGCTCACTGCAAGCTCCGCCTCCCGGGTTCACGCCATTCTCCTGCCTCAGCCTCCCGAGTAGCTGGAACTACAGGCGCCCGCCACCATGCCCGGCTAATTTTTTGTATTTTGGTAGAGACGGGGTTTCACCGTGTTAGCCTTGATGGTCTCGATTTCCTGACCGCTTGATCTGCCCGCCTGGGCCTCCCAACGTGCTGGGATTACAGGCATGAACCACCGCGCCCGGCCAGTTTTTTTTTTTTTTTTTTTTTTTTTTTTTTTTTTTTAGTAGAGACAGGGTTTCACCATGTTGGCCAGGATGGTCTCGATCTCCTGACCTCGTGATCTGCCCAATCCAATCATTTTAAAGCAAACGCCTATGTAACTATTAATACCACCCAGGTCCAGAAAGCAGCGTAAGCAGAACTCCAGGATGCACTGTGCTCTTCCCCAATCATAGCCCCTCTCCCCTCAAGAGTAACCACTACCCACTCCCCCATCTTTGGGATAATCATTTCTTTGGTTCTCATCATGGTGTTTCCTCTGATGTATCAGTTAATATGTAAGTTTATTTTTTATTTCCTCCTTGTTCTCAATAATATGTATTTAAGTTTCATCTATGTTGTGAGTGGCTGTATTTTTTCATTTTACTGCTATGTGATATTTTGTTGAATGAATATATCGTGATTATTTTAGGAATTTATTTCATTTAAACTCAAATTTATTGACAAAGATTTTATAATACTTCCTTATTTTCTTTTTAATGTCTAAGAATCTGTAATATCCTCTTTTTCATTCCTGATATTGGTTATTAATGCACTCTCTTTCTCCTTCTCTTTCTCCTGGTTGATTCTCACCAGAGGTTTGTCAATTTTACCAGTGTTTTAAAAAATGCAAATGTGGGGTTAGTTGACTATCTTTATTTTATACTTGTTTTGTAATTCATTAATTGCTGCTGTCTTTATTATTGTCTTCTACTTTCTTTTATTTTGCTGTTCTTTTTCTAACTTCTTGAGATAGATGAATAGCTTATTCACTTTCAGCCTTTCTTCTCAAACAATCCTCCAGCCTTGGCCTCCCAAAGTGCTGGGATTACAAGTGTAAGCTACCGTGCCTGCCTTCTTTTTCAATATATGGATGTACATCTATACATTTTTCTCTAATAACGTATTTAGTGATGTCTTATATGTTTGAGATGTCATATTTTAATTACCTTTTAGTTCAAAAAAATTTTTGTGTTATGATTTCTCCTTAGAATTTTATTTCTCAATTCTCCAAAATATGAGAATATACTTTGCACAATTTCAATCCTAAAATTTATTGAGGCTTGCTTTGTGTCCCAGTCCCAGCTTTTTGTAAATTTTTGTAAATATTCTACGTGTGTGCTTGAAAAGAATATGTATTCTGCAGCTGTTGGGTGTTGTGTTCTATATATGTTCATTATAAAATTTTTAAAAAATTATAAGCATATTGTTAAAATTTTTTATATCTTTACTGATCTTTTTTGGTCTCCATAATCTATCAATTACTGAGAGAGGAATGTTAAAATCTCTCTACTCTGATGTGAATTTGTCTATTTTTCTTGACATTTTGTCAGTTTTTTATTTATGTATTTTAAGGCAATGTTATTAGAAACATACAAATTTAGAATTCTTATGGCTTCCTGATGAATTGAACCTTTTATTATTATGAAGCGACCCTCTTTAATAATGCTTTTGACCATAGTATCTATTTCATCTCATGTTGAAAACTATACACACACATATACACACACGCGCACACACACACACACACAGTCATGTGCCACATAATAACATTTTGGTCAATAATGGACCACAGATATGACAGTCATCCCATAAGAGTATAATACTGTATTTTTACTATACCTTTTCTATGTTTAGATACACAAACACTTACCATTATGTTATACCTACCAGTAAGCCTATGGTATTCAGCACAGTAACATGCTGTACAGGTTTGCAGCATAGCAGCAATAGGTGTGTAGTAGGCCTAGGTATATAGTAGGCCATACCATCTAGGTTTGTGTAAGTACATTCTGTGATGTTTGCACAATGACAAAATTGCCTAATGAAAGATTTCTCAAAATACATCCCTGTCATTAAACAATGCATGAGTGTATGTGTTCCTGTGTGTTTGTGTGTGCACACGTGTGTGTGTGTGCATAAAAAGAGACAACAGACAGAGCACAACAGAGCTATACACACATATGGTTATAAGTATATATATATATACACACATATATACATATATGTATATACATGTAATACACATATATACATATAGGTATATACATGTAATACACATATATACATATAGGTATATACATGTAATACACATATATACATATAGGTATATACATGTAATATACATATATATCTGAGTGTGTGTGTATGTATGTGTGACTATGTCAGCTTTTATTTGGTTAGTATTTACATAGAGCACCCTTTTTTGTCCTTTTATTTTAAACCTTTTTATATACTTATGCTTTGTATGGATTTTTAAAGTGAAGTCTGAAATTTTTGTCTTTTAACCAGAGGATTTAGTTCATTTACATTTAATATAACAATTGACAAAACTGTGTTTTTAAAAAATCACTATCCTATTTGAGATTTTCTGTTAATTCTGCCTCCTTTTCCTCTCCTTTTAAAAGAGTTGGTCCTAATTTTCACCTTCACTTTCTGTAGCTTAACAAGCAGCTCATTTGGAAGAAACTAGCTCAATAAAAGCACATAAAGTTTCTGGAAAATACTATTAGCTGAGTTCCAGAACCCCCTAACCTAAGATCATTTTCTTGACCAGGAAATCTTGACTGTTAGAGGGCCTCATTGGTGACCCCTGCCTCCTTCCATGTCCCTTATGAATACATAGAATCGCAGAGGACAGGATCCTTCCGCTGGAGCTCTGCTCCTCAGGCGTGCCTCCCTGTGTGATACTGACAAGTGAGAGCCTGGGTGGTATTTGCAGCTGCTCTCTGCCTTCAAGTTTCCCTAATACACCTGACTTCGCATTTGTGTCCTGGCCTGTTAGTGGTACATGTGTATGACCCTTAGCCTGACACTGTTCTTACCTTTCTTTTGACTGATTTCTTCTTGTCATTTTCTTTCCTCTATGAATTTGGCAACTAATCTCATTGTCTATTATTTTAGTAATGACTTTAGAAATCACAACACACACAATTACACTTTTGAAGCCTAAAGGTAATCAGTACCTTTACCCTCTTCCTAGAGTGATGGAAGGGATAAAAACCAACAACAAAAAAATTCTTTTTTGGTCTCCATAATTGTAATGCTTGAACCCTATTATCTCCACACCTACCAATTGAATATATTTTTGCAATAGTGTATCTTTAAATATCATTTTTTAAAATCCCCACAAGATATTATTATTAATGTTGATACAGTGACTAATTGTTTTGTTTATACAAATAGTTACCATTTTCTTTCCTCTCCATTATTTCATGCATCTTGGATCATCCTTCCAGAAGTACCTCCTTTAATAGAGTGCTTCTTAAACTATCTGTGGTGAAAGACTTGTCTTTTTTTTCTTTTAATCATCACAGCCTAGTATTTTTTAAAAGTACAATAACATGAATTACTAGAGGAAAAAATTAAATGAAAAAAACAAAGACATGCAAAATACAAACCCCACATGTTTATTTTTGGATTCGACAGACATAAAAGTACTCTGTCAAATTGTTGTAAAGTTTTCAGAATGCTTCCTTTCAGTTCCTGGACTTCTGTCTTCTGGACTGGGAGCGAACACTCACAGGCTGACATTAATCCATGGACCTGACTTTGAGGAGCACTGCTTAATATTTTTCCTTAGTGAAAAGTTTCCCTGAGTTCTGTGAACTGCTCCAGCAAATTAAGAATGCAAGGAGGGGGCTGTGAGAATCCCAATTTATAGCCAGTCAGAAGAGTAAGTGACAACCTACTACTTATGATTAGCATCTGAATTTGGGGGAAGTCTTGTAGGACTGAGCCCTCAACCTATAGGATGTAATGCTATCTCCAGGTAGATAGAGTCAGAATTGAATTGAATTAGAGGACACCCAGCTGGTATCCACAGGAGAAGCTATGAAGATTGCTTGGTAGGGAGAAATCTCCGCAGATTTCGGTGACCGAGGTCACAGAAATATTCCATGTTGATTGTTGAGTGAAAGACTAGGAAAAACACTTTGTGTTTTTTTGTATCACAACAACTGGAAACAGGAATTCCTGTTACTACTTTGTATTTCGTAGGAGGGTCTCTTGTTCCAGGTTGATTAAGAATTCCTACTTAGAAATACATTCAGAATGTTAATATACATTTTATTAAGTTCCAAATTTGTTTTGAGTACAGGAACTCTGAGGCACATGTGTGTATACGTATTTATAAGCATAACAATTTATAGATACATTGTTATATTTGTCTTATTATTAAATATTATTTTGCCATTTGATAACCCCTTTTCCAGTAGCCCACCTTACATTGGTATAATGTGGAAGAACAGTGTTTTTTACTAAAGATGTTAATTACATAATATTTTATGTTTCTCTATTCTTTAGTTAGATCATGGAGTTTAGGACTTGGGCTGCCATGTTACCCTTGTTAACAGTATGCGATATAAAAGAGATCTAATCCTGTGAGTACAAAATGAGGGAAGTCATAAGAGATTCCTAAGAAGAGAAACTTGAACTGGGGAGAGACTTACTGCATTAAAAATGTATTAAATAAGTTAAGGACTCAAGGGATCTATGCTGATGCTAAGTACAAGACTATTCCTGTTGAACAATAGGAAAAAAGGAAATTAGATGTAGCTTGAGATCACTTGCTCATTAATTTCATCATTGTGTTAAGGAAGAAGAGACTTAGGATTCTTAATTTTTTTTTTTAGAAAAACCTGTTAATAACTGTAAAATGGAATGGATCAGACAAAGGATTTGAAAAGTTGAGATTCTGGTTTGTGTCCCAGCTTTGCTATATAAGAGTTATGTGTGAAATTGGGAAAAATATGTAATGAGACTTCGTTGTAAAATTGAGATAATAATAGTATTTAAATCAATAGTTGTTGTAAAGTTAACATAAGAGACTTGTCAGAAAACTTGGTGTGATTGTTAATTTTCTGGGTCACAACTGGGCTGAGGAAGGCCCAGAGAGCTGGTAACACATTGTTTCTGGGTGTGTCTGTGAGGATGTTTCTGGAAGACTGAGTAAAGAAAATTGCCCTCACCAATGTGGGAGAGCATCATTTAATCTGTTGAAAACCCGATAGAACAAAAAGCTGGAGGAAGGACAGATTCACTCTTCTTGAGCTGGGTCATCCATCATCTCTCGCCCTGGGACATCAGAGTGCTTGGTTCTCAGGCCTTCGGACTCCAGAACTTACACCAGTGCTCCTCTCCTCCACACTCCGCTTCCCCAGCCCTGAAACCCCCTTCTCACGCCTTCAGACTTGATTGGGAGGTACACCACCCACTTCCCTGGTTCTCAGGGTCATGGATTTGGACTAAATTACATGACTGGCTTCCCTGGGTCTCTGGCTTGCAGACAGCAGATTGTGGGACTTCTTGGCCTCCATAATCATGTGGACCAATTCCTCATAATAAATCTCTCTCTGTCTCTCTCTCTCTCTCTCTCTCTATATATATATGTATACACACACACACACACACAAACACATACATTATACATCTTACATATATATGTATATATTATACATTATATATATATATATTTTATATCTCCTATTGGTTCTATTTCTCTGGAAAACCTTGGCTACTACACTTGGTAAACTGTAGAGCAGAATTCTGGGTCACAGTTCCATGACCTTAGTCTAAAAGGTTTTTTTTTAAGTTTGAATTAGGTGTCGTTTTTTTTAACTTTTAATTTTATTTTTAATTTTTTTTCTGTAGAGATGACATCTTGTTATGTTGCCCAAGCTGGTCTCAAACTCCTGGCCACAAGCAATCCTCCTGCCTCAGCCCCCCAAAGTGCTGGGATGACAGGTGTGAGCTACCACACCCAGCAAATGTCATAGTTTAAAAATTTGAATTTCTAGCTTCTTTATAAAAAATCAACTTTATTCAAGGATTATTTATATAAGATACAACATCTTATTTATTTATTTATTTCAGACAGGGTCACACTCTGTCGCCCAGGCTGGAGTGCAGTGGTGCAGTCATAGCTCCTGCAGCCTCGAACTCCTGGACTACAGTGATCCTCCCACCTCAGCCTCCCAAGTAGTCGGGACTACAGGTGAGTGCCACCATGTCTGGCTATTTTAAATGTACAGTCCCAAGAGATTTGTGCAAATGTATAGACCTGTGTAACAATGACCATAGTCAAAATAAAGAACATTTCCACCCACCGAACACGGCTCCCTCGTGCCTTTTTGCAGTCAACCTCTCACCAGGAAACTGGTCCCAGGGAACTATTTGTCTGCTTTCAGTAACTATAGCTTTGTTTTGCCCTTTCTGGAATTTCATGTAAAGGGAATCATGCAATATGTACTCTTTTGTACCTGGCTGTCTTTGCGGAGCATCCTGTTCTTGAGAGTCAACCATGCTGTGTGTGTCAGTTATTTATTCCATAATACTGCTGGGAGTCATGGTGTGGATATCCCAAAATTTGTTTATTCATCTATTGATGGACATTGTACTTATTCCCAGATTTTGGTTATGATGAATAAAACTACTATGCATATTCCCGTACAGGTCTTTGGGTAGAAGTATGTTTTCTTTTCTCTTTGGTAAATACCTAGGAGTGCAATAGCTGGACTATATGGGCCATTTGCTTAACTTCATTCTGTCGCCCAGGCTGGAGTGCAGTGGCATAATCATGGCTCACTGCAACCTTGACTTCCCAGGCTCAAGTGATTCTCCCACCTCAGCCTCTGGAGTAGCTGGGACTACAGGCTTGCTTTACCACACCCAGTTAATTTTTGTATTTTTTGTAGAGCCAGGGTTTCACCATGTTGCCCAGATTGATCTCTACAAACAAAAAAATTAACTGGGCATAGTGGTGCACACCTGTAGTCCTAGCTACTCAGGAGGCTGAGGTGGGAAGATCACTTGAGCTCAGAATGTGGAGATTGCAGTGAGACAAGATGGCACTACTGCACTCTAGCCCAGGTGACAGAGTGAGACCCTGTCTCAAAAAACAAACAACCAACAACAACAACAAAAAAAAGCAAAAAAGAAATCAGATTTCTAGAAAAAAAAGAAATTGAATTTCTAATTCATAATGATGGCATATCTCACTGATTTAGGTAGTTTAAATTTTTCCTTAACAATTTTTTTTTTAGTTTTCAATTTACAGGTCTTACATATGCTTGTTAATTTTATTCTTAAGTATTCCATGGTCTTTGAAGCTATTATAAATGGTACTTTTTTAACAAAGTAAAAAATTTCAGGTAATTTGTTGTCAGCATGTAGAAATAGAATTGATACTTGTATATTGATCTTATAGGACTTTGCTAAATTGACTTATTAATTTCTAATAGCTTTTATGTAAGCTCCATATGTATATGATCTTGTCATCTGCAAATATAGGCAATTTGATTTTTTCTTTCAAATATGTATGCTTTTTATGTCTTTACCTCATTATTCTGGTTAGAATCTCCAGTATAACGTTGAATAGAAATGGAGAGGGGAGGTGGGGTATTTCACCATTAAGTAAAATGTTAGTTGTAGTTTTCTCATTGGGGCCTTTTATAAGGTTGAGAAAAATTCCTTCTATTCCTAGTTTGCTACAAATTTTTATTATAAATTTATGTTGAATTTTGTTCGAAGCATTTTTTGCATCTATTGGGATACTTATTTAGTTTTTATTTTTGTTCTGTTAAGATGGTAAATTACGTTAGTTGATTTTTGAATGTTAAACCAACCTTGCATTCCCTAGATAAATCCCATTTGGTCACATTGTATTATCCTTTCTATATATCGCTGGTCTTGAGTTGCTATTCTTTAAAAGAATTTTGCATCTCTGTTCATAAAAGATATTGGTCTGTAGTATTCTTTTCTTGTGATGTCTTGTTTTCAGGGTTATTTTGTCCTCATAAAATGAATTGCGAAGTGTTCCTTTTACTCTATTTTCGGAAAGAGCTTGTGTTTAAATGATATTATTTCTACCTCAAATATTTAATGGAATTCACCAGTAAAGCTCTGTAGGCATGGAGTTCTTTTTCTGTGGGAAGACTTTGAAAAATTCAGTTTATTGAATGGATATGGAGGTATTCAGATTTTCTGTTTCATCTTGTGTCAGTTTTGGCATTTCATGTCTTTTAGTAAATTTTTCTATTTCAGGTAAATTGTTGGATTTATTGGCATAAAGTTAATCATAACATTCTTTTACACTCCTCCTAAAATCAATATGTTTATAGTGATAGCCCTTCTTTCATTCCCGATACTGGTAATTTGAATCTCATTTATTTTTTAATCAGTCAAGATAGAAGTTTATTAATTTTAATACAAATATTATGTTTTTAAAAGACAAAAAGAAAAATATTTTAAATATTTTCATAGAACCATAGAACCATCTTTTGACTTCATTTTCTCTATTGCTTTTCTATTTTCTATTTTTATTGATTTCTGGTCTTGTCTTCATTATTTTCTTCTTTCTAATTGCTTTGAGTTTAATTTGTTTCAGTTTGTTGAGATGGGAGCTGATATGGTTTGGCTCTGTGTCCTTACCTAAATCTCATCTTGAATTGTACTCCAATAATTCCCACGTGTTGTGGAAGAGACCCAGTGGGTCCTGACCTCAAGTGATCCACCTGCCTCAGCCTCCCAAAGTGCTGGGATTACAGGCATGAGCCACAGCTCCTGGCCAAAAGCAAGAATATTTTCTGTTGTGGGATATATTGTTTTGCAAATGTCAGCTAGGTCAGGTTTGTTGTTAATGTTATTTGAGGCTTCTATATCCTTACAAATTTTTTATCTACTTCTTTTATCAATTGCTGAGAGAGGGCTGTTGAAATTTCCAAATATAATTGGGGATTTGACCATTTCTCCTTTTAGTTATGCCATATTTTCTTCATGTCTTTAGTATCATTGTTATTGGGTGCATACACATTCAGGATTATAATGTCTTCTTAATAAATTGATCCTTTATCATTATGAAATGTCCCTTTTTACTAATGGGCATATACTTTTTCATGATGTCTACTTCATCTAATATTAGTATAGCCATTCCAGCTGCTTCAGGATCAGTGTTTGCATGGTATATTTTTATTATTCATCTACTTGACCAATTTGTGTTTTTATACTTAAAGTGTCTTTCTTGTAGACAGCATATAGTTTGGTATTGCTTTTTTTTTTTTTAACTCTGTATGATAACCTCTGCCTTTTAATTGGAGAGTTTAGACCAGTGCTCATTAATGTGTAGTCTATGGACCCCTGGAAATCCAAAGGCCTTTCAGGGGTGTTTGTGAGATGAAAACCATCTTCATAATAATACTAGAAGTTTATTTTCCTTGTTCATGTAGGGACATTTGCAATAATTGTGTAAAAGTGATGGTGGAGAAAAACTGCCTTAGCATAAATCAAGGCGTTCACAACAAACTGTGGTGTAGTCAGTGCCATTCAACATGTACTTGCAAAAAAAAAAAATTCAAATTTCACTTAAAAATCTCTGGATCAAGGAGTGAAATATTAATTTTATTGAATATATGTCACTTAAATATTTGATTTATTGAGTTGGAAATACATATAAGGCACTTCTGCTGCATATTGAAGTATAACGTCCTGAGTAAAAGCATTTGTGGGATTATTTTAGTTGCAAGCTGAACTAGCCACTTTTTAAATGTTTAAATGAAACACCACTTTTACTTAAAAGGACAACTAACAAAATATGTTAATTCAAACTTGGATATATGGCAGCAATTTTCTCAAAAATCAATGTGGTGATCCTGACACTTCAAGGAAAATTACTGCTGTATTTTTTGCCAATGGTAACATTTGAGCTCTCAAGTAAAAATTCGAAGTTTGGAAAAATTGTACTTGTCACCATGAACTTGACAGCTTACAATAGATGAGATCAGTAGTGATATGAACAACTATATTTTTTCAATATTGTATAATGTAATATATCTACAAAACTCAGCAAGCCAATACTTTCCAAATGATGAACGCATGATGCCATGCAGGTAAAAGAACCATTCAAATTGCTAGATAGATAATTGGATTTTAATGTACTTAACAGTGAGAAGTTCAATTGATCCGATTTCATTTCCCACATTTTAACTAACATTTAAGCAACTACCACTTGCCAAGTTTTAGTATAGTATCAAAGATGAATATCCACATGTATACAAAAAAGATATTAACATATTCCTCTTTTTTCCACCTACATAACTGTGTGAAGCCAGATTATCTTCACATACCTCAACCAAAACAACATATTGCAACAAATTGAATGCAGAAACAGACAGGAGTATCCAGTTGTCTTACATGAAGCTAGACATTAAAGAAGTTTGCAAAAATGTGAAACAACATTGTTATTCTCCCTAAATATTTTTGTTTTGAAAAATATAGTTATTTGTCCAAAAAGTATGTTGTTTGTGTTGTGTTATTTTATTTTATTTTATTAATTAATTTATTTTTATCTTTTGAGATGGAGTCTTGCTCTGTCACCCAGGCTGCAGTGCAGTGGCGTAATCTTGGCTCACTGCAACCTCCGCTTCCCGGCTTCAAGTGATTCTTGTGCCTCAGCCTCCCGAGTAGCTGGGATTACAGGCTCCTGCCACCATGCCCAGCTAATTTTTTTGTAGAGACAGGGTTTCACTATGTTGGCCAGGCTGGTCTCGAACTCCTGACCTCAAGTGCTCCACCTACCTCATCCTCCCAAAGTGCTGGGATTACAGGCGTGAGCCACTGTGTCCAGCCTGTATGTCTTCTTTGAATCAAATGTTGTAACTGAATGTTTCTGGAGGAAAGAGATTTCTGGTTTTTTAAAATTTCATTATTTTTTAGTTGGATTGCATTATTGTCAGACAATTCTTTGGAATTTATTGAGGTTTTCTTTATGGCTTGATATGATCATTTTTCATGAGCATTGATGAGAATTTAAGAAGTAGGTAGTTTCTAGTATCGGGCTTGAGAGCACAATATATACCTGTACATCTACCTCATTGATTTTTGTATTCAGGTTTTCTGTGGCTTCACTAAAATTGTTATCCCTGTGATCTGTCTTGGTTTGAGAACTATGTTAAAATTTTCCATTATTTGTATGTTTCTTTTTTTATTATACTTTAAGTTTTAGGGTACATGTGCACAATGTGCAGGTTAGTTACATATGTATACATGTGCCATGTTGGTGTGCTGCACCCATTAACTCATCATTTAACATTAGGTATATCTCCTAATGCTATCCCTCCCCTCTCCCCCTACCCCACCACAGGCCCCGGTGTGTGTTGTTCCCCTTCCTGTGTCCATGTGTTCTCATTGTTCAATTCCCACCTATAAGTGAGAATATGCGGTGTTTGGTTTTTTGTCCTTGCAATAGTTTGCTGAGAATGATGGTTTCCAGCTTTATCCATGTCCCTACAAAGGACATGAACTCATCCTTTTTTATGGCTGCATAGTATTCCATGGTGTATATGTGCCACATTTTCTTAATCCAGTCTATCATGGTTGGACATTTGGATTGGTTCCAAGTCTTTGCTGTTGTGAATAGTGCCACAATAAACATACGTGTGCATGTGTCTTTATACCAACATGATTTATAATCCTTTGGGTATATACCCACTAATGGGATTGCTGGGTCAAATGGTATTTCTAGTTCTAGATCCCTGAGGAATGGCCACACTGACTTCCACAATGGTTGAACTAGTTTACAGTCCCACCAACAGTGTAAAAGTGTTCCTATTTCTCCACATTCTCTCCAGCACCTGTTGTTTCCTAACTTTTTAATGATTGCCATTCTAACTGGTGTGAGATGGTATCTCATTGTGGTTTTGATTTGCATTTCTCTGATGGCCAGTGATGATGAGCATTTTTTCATGTGTCTGTTGGCTGCATAAATGTCTTCTTTTGAGAAGTGTCTGTTCATATCCTTTGCCCACTTTTTGATGGGGTTGTTTTTTTTTCTTGTAAATTTGTTTGAGTTCATTGTAGATTCTGGAGCTTAGCCCTTTGTCAGATGAGTAGATTGCAAAAATGTGTATGTTTCTTAATTCTCCTTTTCTGCTGTATTCTATTGCTTCGGTTTCCTCTTTTTGGTTCCTATTATATGTATATTGGCTTTTGTCTATTTTCTATATCTATCTCTTTCTTTTAAGAATCTGCTAAATTTTTCTATTATTTGCATGTTTGTTAATTCTCCTTTTCTTTTCTGTGTTCCTGCTCTGTGAAAATCTGTGCTATTTTATTAGGTATATAACTATCAATAACTATTATATCTTCATTGTGACTATAGCCTTTAACACTATAAAGTGCTTTTAACATCACTTTTTATGCTATTTCATCCTGGATTTGACCTTGTAAGATCATGATTGTAGACCCTGTCATTTGGTCTCAGTTCTTCATGTGACTATTTACTTACATAGGGCTCAACACTAGTTCTTGTTTTGATGTTTCGCTAGTCTTTTTTATTTTTTGAAGCCCTGGTAGATTTTTCTGGACGTCCCTATGGGAATAGTATTATGTGAGTTCTTGCCTGTTTGTAGCAACTTACCTGTGACCTTCATACTTGAAATTAATTTTGCCTGGATATTAAATCCATGATTTACATTTTCTGCTGTAGAAAACTCTGATGACAATCTGCCTTTTATCCTTCCTTACAAGAGTCTTAGTTTTTTGTTTGAAGTCTGAAGCATTGTTTTTACAAAAAAAAATCCAACATTTTTACTAGTTGTGTACCCTTTCAATATATAGTTTCAAGTCATTTTTTATTTCAAAAAGTTTTTTTGAATTAAAGAAAACTTTTTTTTTTTGTTTTGTTTTTTTTGAGACAGGGTCTCACTCTTGTTGCCCAGGCTAGAGTGCAGTGGTGCAATCTCAGCTCACTGCAACCTCCACCTCCTGCCTCAGCCTCCCGAGTAGGTGGGATTACAGGCGCCCACCACCATGCCTGGCTAATTTTTGTATTTTTAGTAGAGATGGGGCTTCACCATGTTGGCCAGGCTGGTCTCGAACTCCTGACCTCAAGAGATCCTCCTGCCTCGGCCTCCCAAAGTGCTGGGATTACAGATAAGAGCCACCGTGCTGTGCCTTGAATTATAATTTTTAATATTTATTCTGTTCTATTGTTTTCATTTTCTCTTTCAGGTTCCTGTTACATGAATGTTAGCCTTTTGTTTATCTTCTTTGTCTTTCTTTCAAATTCTTATCTTTTCCTTAATGTGTTTTTTTATTATTATTTTTTAAAACTTTTCCATTTCCATTTTCTATTTCTCTTAAAGCATATGTGTGTTCCTTCTGGTTTTGTTTTTATTTCTAAAATTATTTTTATTTTTTCTAATTCTTTCTTGAGTTCTGTCACCTGTTTTCTTAAATATTTGTTTTCAATAATTATCTGATTTTTTCAATTTTGCTGATTTTGATATGTGTTGTCATCTAATAATTTTTACCATGCTTTTATTTTTTTAGTTTTTAAAAATATTAAATTATAATTTTCGTGAGTTTTTTTATGGGCTCGTTTTTCTGGCATGATTTTATTATCTACAGGCATGTTATTCTACTCTTGTTTTCTTTTTTTCTTATAATAACTTTGTAAGAAATTTCACTGTAATCTTTTTTCCTATACTTTTAGGAGAAGTGCAGAAGATATTTTCTTGCTCTATAGATCTAAAAAATCTGTGTGGGGTTTTTTTCCTCCAAAGTGACCAAAAGTAATTTCTAAGATTTGTTTCCTTTTTCTCCTTACTTTGCTTTCCAACTTTTAACTAGATCTTCTCTTTATTTGCCCTTGTAGTTCAAATCCTGCCTAACCTGGATTCTCTTTTCAGTAGTTTGCCCTCAGTGCAGAATTTTGTCTTGTAGAGGAGATTTAATTTGTTAATTTTGAGAGTTTATGAGACCCCGACTGCTCCATTTGATCTTTTCTATCATTAGGCCTGATTACAACATGGTCCCTGTGAATTTGCCCATAAGTTTTATCCTGCAGACCCCCCTGTCAGTTTCAGCCATTGTTCTCAGATGAACTTGCACGTTGTAGTGAGTACCACATGGTGACTTTTGTTGCTGTCATGATCTCAAGGCCATTAGAGGATCATTGGTCATTACTTTTTTCCTCCAATGCAAATACTGATACTGCTCACATCCTGTAGGTGAGGGTGTTGTGTACTTGGGGGACCACAAAAATACTTGTCACCTAGAGTTATTGTGAGAGATCACTCATGAGTCTTCTGTTTCGCTATCTTAGTTGCTGTTTATGTTTTTCGGGGAATTTAAGGAGATTATACTGTCTTGGATGCCTCCTTCTTACTAATCCTTTTTGATGCCCAATTTGTGCCATTTTTAACCTGTGGAAATACATTTGGTTAGGCTTCTGTTTCCTTTAGACATGATCCCATTAGTTCTGCATAGTTTTCTTACTTTATGGCACAAAAAGACACTCAAGGCTTATCTTAGTCATCGCCTGCTCCAGTCTTTGAATGAACATTTCTACAAAGAGCTTCCATTCCTTTTATCCATCAGACTTTTAGTTTATCTATCTAAGCTGTGAATCATTATCTTTATTTTTTATTTTTTTTGGGGGGGGTTGGGGGTGGACAGGGTCTGGCTCTGTCACCCAGGCCTGAGTGCAATAGTGCAATCGTAGCTCACCACAACCTCAAGCTCCTGGGCACGCACCATCATACTTGGCTATTTTTTTTTTTTTTTTTTTTACTTTTTGTACAGATGGAGTCTCACTGTGCTGCCCAGGCTGGTCTTGAACTCCTGGCCATAAGCAATCCTCCTGCCTCAGCCCCCCAAAGTATTGGGATTACAGGAGCATGAGCCACTGCACCCAGCTAAATCATTTCCTTTAAAAACCTAAGCAAAGCATTGGAAAAGAGCCATCTGAAATTTTCAAGAAAGGGAAAAAATAAAGAATTTTACAAAACCCCCAAAACCTAAGCAAGTCCTCTTCAAGAAGGTTCATAATTGTAGAAACTCTCTCAGTTAAAGCCACTGTACCTTGACCAAAGAAAAGTGTTATATCAAAGAGAAAGGGGAAAACCATGATATAATGGAGCCAGAATTGTACTTGAAACCCAGGTGAAAATAAGGATTCATCAAGTAATGCAATACAAAGTGAAAGAAAAACAAGAAGGAAGGAAAGAAATTAATTTTCACTCAGTGTCTGTCATTTATCAGGTAGAGAGTTGGGGTTTTCACATTACCTTGTTTGACCCTTAGAAAAACTCAGAGGGCATGTAAAGTATAACTATCCCAATTTTACAACTACAGAAACAGAAGTTCAGGGAGTTTACTCAAGGTCATCCCACCAATACACAGACTGGGTAATACAGTAGAGGTACAGAAATATTCTTGTCCTAAATTAGTGGCTTCAAAAATCATTAAAACAAAACAAAACACCTAAAGGTTGTAGTAATTTTACCAGTAAATAGATACATACATACATACATAAACACACATATATTTTCAAATTTTGAAACTTTTTATTTTTGGAATAATTGTAGAGTGACAGCAAATTACAATGATGTTTCAGAGAGGTCTTCTGTATTCATCACCCAGTTTTCCCCATTGGTTACATCTTATGTGACAATAGTACCATAGCAAAACCAGGAAATTGACACTCTCATAACGTGCATGTATAGTTCTATGTCATTTTATTACATATGTAGATTCATATAACCACCATCAGAATCAAGATACAGATCTATTTAATCACCATAAAGATCTCCTTTGTGCTACTGGTTTATAGTCACACACACACCCTGCCTCTCAACTATCCATAACCCCTGTCAACCATTAATTTGTTCTTCATTGCTATAATATTTTTTCATTTTGAGAATATTTCATGAATAGAATCATGAAGTATTCCATTTGAGATTATTTTTTTCCCACTCAGCATAATGCTTTTGAGATTTATCCAAGTTGTTGCATGTGCTAATAGTTTGTTCCTTTTTATTGTGGAATCGTATGCCATGGTGTGGATGTATCACAGTTTATTTAACTCTTTACCTATTGTAGAACATTTTGATTGTTTCCAATTTGGGGCTATTAAAAAATCCAGTTGCTATGAATAATCATGTATAGGTCTTTGTGTGGATATAAGTTTTCATTTCTCTGAGATAAATACTCAGGAGTGCAATTGCTGAGTCACAGAGTAAATGTATGTTTAGATTTTAAAGAAACTGCTAAAGTATTGTCCAGAGTGGTTGTCCTATTTTACATTCCCATCCGTAATGTAAATGTATGAAAGATCCATCTTCCCTGTGTCCTTGTCAGCATTTGATGTTGTCACTATTTTTCATTTTAGCTGGTCTAATAGATATGTAGTGATAGCACATTGTGGTCTTAGATTCCATTTCCCTAACAGCTAGTGATGTTGACCATCTTTTTATGTACATATTGCCATTCACATATCCTCTTGAATGAAATGTATTGTCCTTTGTCTACTTTCTAATTGGATTTTTTGCTGTTGTTTGGTTTTGAACTGTTGAGTTTTTAAAGAACTGATAGTCCTTTATATACTCTAGGTACTAGTCCTTTGTCAGATACATGAGTAAAGGAGATACAGAGAGAGAGAGAGAGAGAGAAAGAGAATGCTGTAAGGAAAATAGATGTGCTTTAGTCAAGAATAGGTCAAGGCAGACATCTGGGCCAGTGTGACTCAGCAAGTTTGGAGCACAGGCACCCAACTGCACTCATTATATAACCTGTTTATGTAAGCTCATACTTACTCTGGGCCACTGTTGTCTGTAAAAGGTATAACTGCCCTGCTGACACTGTACATACGGCTCACACCCAGAGAGAGGAGTGAAGCTGCTAACCCTATAAGGAAAAGCCGTAGGGGTGGCAGGAGCCGCAGAGCCAGCTGCTGAGAAGGGCTGCAGCCGGATCGGGCAGCCGAGACAAAGGCTGGCAGAGAGAGAACATAATAAAAGCCATATTTCACCTGCCTATGGCCCCCTTGAGTGTTCTTTCAGCTATCCACTACCCATCCACCCACTCCCCTCGGACCTCAGCATAGGCTGGAACCTGACACTTGGCAGGACACATGCACATGTGCTAGTTCTCTGATGTCCTTTCTCTTTTTTCTTGAGACAGGGTCTTGGTCTGTTGTGCAGGCTGCAGCCTCGACCTCCTGGGCTTAAAGTGATCCTCCAACCTCAGTCTCCCAAGTAGCTGGTACCACAAGTTTGGTGTGCCACCAAACCTAGCTAATTAAAAAAAAATGATTCTTTTTGTAGAGACAGTATCTCCCTAGGTTTCCCAGGCTGGTCTCAAACTCCTGGGCTCCAGCGATTCTCCTGCTTCAGCTTTCCCAACTGCTGAGATTACAGGTGTGAACCACTGCGCCCGGCTTGGTGTCCCCTTTTATAAGGAGACTAATCCTGTCATATCAGAGGCCCACCATTATGACTTCATTTAACCCTAGTTACCTTTTTATGGGTCTCATCTGCAAATACAGTCACTTTGGGTGTTAGGGCTTCAACACGGGAATTTTGTGGGGACACAGTTTAGTCCATAGCATGATGGATGATCATGGAAGCCCTGAATCTCCTCTACTGGCCTCTAGGCCTCCCCTGACATAACTCCAGAGGAGAAAGGGAGGAGCGTCTCATTCCACTGAGTCAGGGTGATCTTTATCGACTCCTAGTGTCACAAAGATGTTGGGGACGGTTACTCTTGTGAGTATGCATTAGGTTTTATGGGACTCTACCTTATCAGAATGGATGAGGTACCCTGCTGCCCTTGAGAGGCAAGGTATCATGTCGTGAAAAGGCCGGTGAGGGGGCCACATGGCAAGGAACTGTGTATGGTCTCTAGGAGTCATGAGTGGCTTTGCTGAAAGCCAGCCCCAGTCCTACAGCTTTAAGGAATGAGAGTGTGCCAGCAACCACATGAACTTGGAAGAAGGTCCTGAGTTTCAGAAAGGAATGCACCCCACCTGATGCCTTGATGGCAGCCTAGACCCTGAGGAGATGACTCAACTAAGCTATGCCAGACTCCTGACCTACAGAAACTGTGAGATAATACATGTATGTTGTTTTAAGCCATTGTTGTGGTAATTTGTTACAGTGTGATAGAAAACTAATACAACACTCCAATTTCCATGACTTTCCTTTGTATCTGTGATCTACTTATCCCCCACCCTACACACTGCACCCATGACATAAAAAGTGGTAAATATAAACATTTTTTTGGACATGCTTAATAATTTGTCTATAGCGAATGCTGACAAAAACTTGATATATTTCTTGCCATATGAAGTAAGTGAGCTTACTGGAGAATAGTCTCTTCTGCCAAAAGTTGCAGGAAACAACAAAGGGTAATAAAATTTAATATCTGAGGAGATGGTAACAGATGGACTGTAGGCTTTTAAAAAAATGAATATTGGAATCTCTAAGGTGAATGAATCTTTTATGACTAAATATGGAAGACAGGTTTTATAAGTATACAGCAAAAAAATAAAATAACCAAGCAAAGTTGAACTATCATGAAAAAGATGGAAAATAAAAAGTTAAAAAGGCACAAATCTATGATTAGCATAAAAAGTACATCTGTGCCAAGAAGTTAATCGAATAATAAAATAAAACAATTTTAATAAGAAAGATCGTAATAATGAAATGTCTCATGTTAAGAAACATGAAAACCAGGATACAATCAGTATGGAGCAAATAACGATAATGCTGGCATGGGTGCTAAAATACCACCAAAGAAACAAGTTTTCAGTCCAGAAGCACAAACATGTCAGTCACTTCTTGCCCGTTTCAAAATTCCAAAAGAAGTTGGGTCCAAGATACAGCATGAGTTTCATGCTAGCCAAACATCATATTATTTTCTCCTCAATTAAATCTTCTCGGTGAGCTACAAATGTTTCTTTTGTCACTAACCACTCCAGGTGGGCCTTGTTAGCTCCCAGTTTATTGCCAGATTGCTAAGCCCACTGCTAAACTGAGTGCTGTCATTCCCTCGTCTTCCCACATTTGCTACCTCCACGCTCTTAAATCACAACTGCTTAACACTCCCACTCTTGCCTTATACTTCCACCTCCTCGTGTGCTTCCACATGGCCCTAGATGGTGGAAACAAAATTCTCTTATCCATCTGACATCACCTTTTTCCTACGTATTCCTTCAAAAAAGCTCACCTCTTCTGAGGAGGTGATTCTGAAATGATTTTAATGACAAATTTAAGTAGCACAGAAGCTACTAACAAAAATAGTCTCTCTTTGATCTCAATGAGATCCATACTTCCCTCTTTAAGTGCAACCTCCTCTTTTCCATATGCCCTGGGTCTTGACTGCCATGCAAATATGAATTACAAGCCCAAGAGGCAGAGATGAAAGCCATGAGAATAAGTGCTAGGTAGTGTCTCCTGTTGTTAGAGAAGAACAAACATAAATTATAGTTGACTGGTAAAGACATTATTGGGAACAGAGCCTCTAGTTTTGAAAGTTACATTAGTCAATTGATTCAATCACTAATTCAATAAGTGCTTCTTGTGTGCTGATTATGTGCGAGGTATAGCTTTGTGCTATGTGTACACTGAGGGGAAACAGAACTACCAGTGTAGGAAGTGATCAAGATTAAAAAGAAGCAAAAATACAAGCTGTGATAGCTTTCTCGAATAAAATAAAGAGAGTTCAACAATGTGGAACAAGATAGGAAGGGAGCAAGGTAGTCATGGAATGTAACAATTAATTTTATGTGTCAACTTGACTGGGCGAAAGGATGCCCAGGTAGCTGGTCAAACGTAATTTCTGGGTGCGTCTATGAGGATGCTTCTGGAGGAGATCAGCATTTGAGTTGGTAAACTGAGTAAAGAAGATTTGCCCTCACCTGTGCAGGTGGGCATTATCCAATTCACTGAGGACCCAACAGAGTAAAAAGGTGGAGAAAGAGTGAATTTGCTCTCTCTTCTTGAGCTGGAACATTCATGTTTCCTAACCTTGGTCATTGGTGCTCCTGGTTCTCTAGCATTGGACTTGGACTGGGACAAACATTGGCTGCCCTGGTTCTTGGGGCTTTGGGTTTGGGTTCAAACTATACCACTGACATTCCTGGGCTTCCAGCTTGCAGATGGCAAGTTGTGGAACTTATCAGCTTCCATAATCACCTGAGCCAATCCCTCATAATAAATTATCTATCTATCTATCTATCTATCTATCTATCTATCTATCTATCTTTCTAATCTCTCTCTGTTATCTATCTCATCTATCATTTATCCTATCTATCTATCTATCTATCTATCTATCTATCTATCTATCATGTGTCTATCTATCTCCTGTTGGTTCTACTTTTCTAGAGAACCCTGGCTAACCTCACTAAAATTATTTTTAATGACATTCTTGTTATGTGCCTTTAAAAATTTTCTTTCTTTTCTTTTCTTTTTTTTTTTAAGAAACGAGGGTCTCACTGTGTTGCCCAGGCTGGTCTTCACCTCCTGGCCTCAAGCAGTCCTCCAGCCCCAGTCTCCCAGCGTGCTGGGATTATAGGCATAAGCTACCATGCCCTGCCTCTATGTGTCTTGTTTGAGCTCTGCTCTTTGTCTCTCTGTTCTTCACAACTTTCATTCATTTTCCACTTTCACATTTCTAACCCATGTTAGTTTCCTTTCCTTTTTGCTCCTCAGAAGACAGTACCTACCTGCTGCTTATATTTCAAAAAAGGAGGTAAATTTGTACCGTGTGATCCTGGACAGAGTGGGCTCTGGGGTCAGATCTCCTGTGGCCTGGAATTCTGGCTCTGCTGCTTGCCAGCTGTGCAAACTCGTGCAAATTTCCTTTTAGTTTCCTGAGATATAAAATGATGATAACTATGGTTCCTAGATTCTGAGGTAGTTGAGAGAATTAATTAAAATACAACATGCAAAATAATTAATACAGTGTCTGCCATATAGCAAAAACCAACGGATGTTAGCTGTTCCTGTTACTTCATCTTGCCTGCGTTTAAGATAAGCTGTCTTTACAGGTATGAGTGTGTGTGGACGGGGTGCAGATTTATGGTACTTCGGCCCCCGAAGAGCCAAGAATCCCATAAGCATAATTAACTGAGTTAAAAACATTATTAATTTTAATCACATATATTTTTATACAAATATATTTCTCAATTGCAAGGGCTTTGCACATGTGTCGAAGAATAGTATAGTCAGTTGGACTACAGCAGAGTAAAATGTAAAGAAATATAAATACCTAGGCAAATACAGCACCTTTACAATTAATCTATTTGTAATCACGGTTTCCTCCAGCCCCAATTTTCCTGTAGAATTTGCAACAAGCAATAGAAGGAAGGAAATCGAACTCAAGGATCCTTAACTCTTCTGGAGTCGGACCACTTCTAGGAGAGTTCTGAGACTTTAAGCCAGGTTGGCATTAAAAGGTTTCTGGGTTACAAGACTCAGCTACTCTAATTAAGAGGGGACTTTATCATTCTCTTTGATTCCACCGCACTCATCTGCTTAGGCTTGCGTGAAATATACTTGGGCTTCTACGCAGCTCCTGAACTTTGGTGTTTAAGTCCCCGTAGACTCTTGTGCTCTCAATCTCCACGTTGCTTCGCTACTAAACTGATTCCCTGAGGATTTTTAGCGTCTTTCCCTTCAAACTTCAACTTTTCTCTTCAAGAAAAGATTATGGCCACACTATTAATCTAATTTTGGTGCTTTTTTTTTTTTTTTTTTTTGAGACGGAGTCTCGCCCTGTCGCCCAGGCTGGAGCGCAGGGGCGCGATCTCGGCTCACTGCAAGCTCCGCCTCCCGGGTTCACGTAGCTGGGACTGCAGGCGCCCACGACCACGCCCGGCTAATTTTTTGTATTTTTAGTGGAGACGGGGTTTCACCGTGTTAGCCAGGATGGTCTCGATCTTCTGACCTCGTGATCTGCCCGCCTCGGCCTCCCAAAGTGCTGGGATTAAAAGGAGTGAGCCACCGCGCCTCGCGTTTTTTTTGTTGATTGTTGTTTGTTTGTTTGTTTTTTACCTAAAAGTTTATTTATCGTTAGCCCAGCTGCCTCTCTTGTTCATAACTCTTCGCCCCTTAAAACTAGAGGCGGCTGGGCGCGGTGGTCACGCCTGTAATCCCAGCACTTTGGGAGGCTGAGGCGGGTGGATCACAAGGTCAGGAGTTTGAGACCAGCCTGGCCAATATGGTGCAAACCCCGTCTCTACTAAAGATACAAAAATTAGCAGGGCGTGGTGGCGGGCACCTGTAGTCCCAGCTACTCGGGAGGCTGAGGCAGGAGAATGGCGTGAACCCACGAGGCGGAGCTTGCAGTGAGCTGAGATTGCGCCACTGCACTCCAGCCTGGGCAACAGAGTGAGACTCCATCTCAAAAAAACAAACAAACAAAAAACAAACTGAAGGCTTATAATTTCTAGTGTGTGCACAAGTCACTCAACAGCCATTCCCTCATGCTTTTGGAAAGCCTTTACCGTGATGCTGTTTACACAGCCACCTCTATACTGAGGCATCTCTCTGAAAATAGAGACCATGTCTTCTTCAGTCACCACAGCACTTACAACAGTGCTGGACACATAGCAGGTGCTCAAGAAGCTTTGCTGAATAAAGAAAGAAACAATGCTTAAGTGTGTTCATATACTTGCTGCCGTCTATAATAAGGGCATTTCCTTAACATAGAGTCAGACCTGCTACGCCAATCTAATTGTGTGTAAAATTTGACGAGGTCTAAAAAAGACATATAAATGGCTTCACTGTATGTATAGTTTAGTAGATGGTATTTAGATAAGCAGCACAGACTTTCTTTCTTAAAGGTTGTGTTAAATATTGAAACGGTTCTCAAGTGTGGCAAGAGAAGGTGCTAGCCTGTCTGTAGTCCTGAGTAAATCAAAATATACTTCACTATTTGTATGTCTGGATTATCTATCAAGGTCCATTCCATGTCTGTGACCTAATATTGGATTGTGCATGTATAAATATTATAGCATACTGAAGAGTGGAATCACATACGGAGAAAAACTATTAACAAGATCTAGGCAGAAAATTAATAAACCTTAATAAATATTTTAAAAATACAGTCCATCTGGGAAAAACATAAATTTTATTTTTATTCATTAGGGTGATCCACTCACTGACTCATTGTTCTAACTTCCTTTACTAATTTGGAAAAATTAGTCACTCTAGGTGGTGATGTGAATGTTGCAACTAAAGATTTCTTACATTTTCAATTTGCATAATTTGTGAATTCTACCTATAAATACTAGTAGTTTCCTCAAAGTTGGAAATTACATAATAACAAAAGAAAACTCAAACCAACTATTAGGGTAACGTGTAGAAATTTCTTTTAAAGCCTGGCCATGGTGGCTCACGCCTGTAATCCCAGCATTTTGAGAGGCTGAGGCAGGAGGATTGCTTGAGGCCTGGAGTTTGAGACCAGCCTGCGCAACATAGCGAGACCCCATCTCTACAAAACATTTAAAAATTAGCTGGATGTGGGCCGGGCACGGTGGCTCACACCTGTAATCCCAGCACTTTCGGAGGCCAAGGCGGGTGAATCATGAGGTCAAGAGTTCAAGACCAGCCTGGCCAACAGGTGAAACCCTGTCTCTACTAAAAATACAAAAATTAGCCAGGCATGGTGGCTCACACCTGTAATCCCAGCTACTCGGGAGGCTGAGGCAGGATAATTGCTTGAACCTGGGAGGTGGAGGTTGCAGTGAGCTGAGATCATGCCACTGCACTCCAGCCTGGGTGACAGAGCAAGACTATCTCAAAAAAAAGAAAAGAAAAATCAGCTGGGTGCGGAGGTGCGCAACCGTAGTCCCAGCTACTTGGGAGGCTGTCGCAGGAGGCTGGTTTGAGCCCAGAAGCCTGAGTTTTCGGTGAGCCAGGGCAACAGAGTGAAACCTTGTCTCAAAATAAATAAATAAATACAATTCTTTCAAAGATCTTAAACAGAAAGTTTTATTTGAAATGAATCCAAGAATAAGAGGCAACTTTTGGACTAAGTAGTGTCTTCCTTAACAACGTTTTATATCAACATCCACACTTTTAGTAAAACGTTTACCTCTTCCCCTCATTTGCCCTCCCCAAAATAGACTTCACAGGAAAAAGAGTATTCTAGAAACACCCTGCCCTTTTCACACTTCCTAGGGGTTACTTTCTTTCTCTTCCTGCTATAATTTTATGCAAACAGGTAGTACTTATTCCAAGACAGAGGCGATAGCTTCCCATATACTTGTTTTTCCTTTGAACAGGTATTCCCCTTAACGTAGCCTTACTTGGGAGTGAGATGGGGTGGGGTAGGGTAGGTTCTAGTTAAAGCTCTTCCTATAAGTTTTGATGGTTGAAATATTTTTTCCTAAACGTTCTATCACAAAGATTCCAGAATATTCTTCTTGAAAACCGTACTAAAGCTATCCAATACTATTATTGCCTCTCAGAAGCACTTACTATCCAGAATATCACTGTGGAAAGGAACAGAGAGAGAAAGGACAGAGAGGCAAGTTTCACAGAGCAAGTGAGGTACTCAGGAGGTTGGGTTTCTGGTAGAAAAAGGAACAGGTAGAAATTTTAGACACATCATTGTATTGTGTCTGAGCATTCGGTTCAATGTATAAGGCTGCTTGGTGCACGGTTATTTATCTCCACTGAATCTAACAGAAGAAAGCTTTTTGGACTCCTTGCATGTGGAGTGGTAGTATTATGGAGTCTGCAGCAAAGGACTTGTTTACAAATCTTTTGAAGATGCTGTGGGTTTGCAGTGAGCCGCATCGCATTTTTTCTCTGAGGGGCTTTAAAGATGTGCAGCTGAACTCCTGAGTGAATTTTTCAATGGTGACTGCCTTTCTCTGTGAGGAGAGACCGTATATGGCAGAGCCACAGTGTGAGTTACAGTCTCTGAAAAGTCCATTGCCAAGAGGCACCTTGCTCCAAATTCCCTGGATTCAGATTTTAGTGCAGAGAGGAATGCTGGAGAACGCATGAGTCATGATGTACTCTTAGTAATTTTGCTAGAACATCAGGAAAGAGGTGCTTGGTATTGCATACTGCTTGCATCTGGATGGAATTAGAGCTTTTAGCTTTTCCTCAAGAAGGGCTTATTAATAGCAGAGGACTGAAGTAATAAGTGTGTTCCATGTATAGCACTTGAGGAAATGAGCAATGCCAGAGAAGGTTTATCAGGACTCACTGTTAGTTCTTTCTCTACCCCTGGGGAAGCAGATCTATTGATCAGATTCTTGCAGAAAAACAGCCTGTAATGGGTTTACTGTGCTGAGATATCATAGACCAGGAGTGTCTTTTATGATAGCCCAGAAACTATCCTGCCAGAAAGACTTGAAGGGCTGCTGACCTGCGTGGCAAAAGGAAGGCTGTGTAACACACAGGGAAAGTAAAAGATGTCAGGGTTGATTTCTGGTTTAAATTCTCTTAGCCTGGTAAGTTAAAATCACTGGCTTTGGATACATCTTACTCAAAATCATTTCATTTCAAACATAAGGGGTCATTGATGAAAATCACCTTAAAGGTTAACCACCTTTTCTTCCCCATCCCCACCAGTAAATCTACAGCACTGTGAAATAGATCAGAAATTAAAACCCCTTTGTGCAGCTATGAAATTGGAAATGAACTACGCAAGTGCTTAAAGATAGCAGTAACTCAATAACAAGCTAAGCGGGCACAACATAAGCCACACTATGTTTGTATATGTGCGTAGAAGCTATAACATTTTGGTTTTTCCTTGACTGAACCCATGCATATGGAAACACACAAGTGGATATAAATCCAGAAAATAAATGTGTTGGCTCATATAATTGAAAAGCTCAGGGAGCTAGCTTCAGGCTGAGCTGGATCTAGCAACTTGATGTTATCAGGATTCTCTTTCTCCATCTTTCAGCTCCGCCTTACTCTGTACTGGCTACATTCTCAGGAAGGTCTCCCCATAATGGTTTCTAGCAGTTACAGGTTTACATTCTTAACTTGGTAAGAATGTAAAAGAAACCAAGTTTATCTCTTTCAGTAATTTCAGCCACAGTCCTGGAACTAAATTTCATTAGCCTAGCTTGGGGTTAGGGCCCATCCCTGAACCAATTATTGCAGCCATGGGTGATGGAATGTGCCTGGTTGATCTGGTCTGAATTGTGCACTTCCCTTGCCCCCGCCCCAGCCCTCCCCAGGCTAAATGGACTGAGAGTGGGTGAGAGGGGCTTTTTTCAAAGGAGATCAGTGTACTGTTATCAGAAGAGGGAAGCAACAGGTTTACACTTCAATTGGTCAATATTTGGGGTATATTTAGGGACATGAAACTCTTTTTTTTTTTTTGAGATAGTACTTTACACCCAAATATAAGCAGCCCCCAGAAGAAGCTATATATTTATTCAAATCATGTTGTCTTTGGCTCAACATATTTTTGGAAGTCCTTTTTTGAATTGCCTCCTGAGTCAGTTTAAAAACAATAAAATAAAATTTTGTCTTGTTGGTGTGTACAATTATATAACATTTTACCATGAAATACCCAACCATATTAAATAGATTAGGATTCTTTCCCACTGTTTGAGAATAAATATGCAAAATAATGTGAAAGAAAATTCCAAGAATGGAATTTTTAAAATGACACGAATAGAAGAATTGTTGGATTAAAATAGACCCTACTTTGAGAGGGACAATACTCATTTGCATAGATAAGCTATCTTAACATGTGGTCCCTGCCCTTAAAGAAAGCTTAGCTTTACTGTGGTGCTAACTGTGAGTGCCAAGGGAGCCAGAACTTTGATGAACTTCTTTCTGAGATTGAATTTCTTCCTGTGTATTTGGAAGATGGAATGGTTAAATATCAAGGAGCAACTTGTATACCAGCAGAAGCATCGAAAGCAGTGTGCTCCCCCATCCTCAATAATGCCAAGATTTGGAGAAGGGTGCTCCTGAGCAGATGGTTTGACAGACTAAAGCATTAGTTTGCTGAGCCTCCGTGCTTGATAATTAATTCTTCAGTTTACTAGGATTTAAAATGATTGTTCAAAACAAGACATCCCTTAAAATAAATGCTAGGTGAAAGTCTCAACACGGTATTGATTATTAAGGTGGTTATTTCAAACAGATGAGGGTTGTCATTAAATAACAGAATTGCCTTACCTGCTCTGTTGGTTTAATTAAGCTGTTTTCAATTTGTAAAAAAAGATTATCTACAGTTTTAATATTTGTATTCACCTGGATTGTATTTTTTCAATTTTCTAGTTAAAGCAATAAATGGAATTCTATGGTAGATTTCATTTTACAATTCAGATAAATAATGTAGTTAACATTTATTATCGGGAAAGCAGACTTTGCAGGACTGTGGCTTGAATAGCCTGAGTATTAAGAATTAAAAGTTGTAAATTCTAGTTTTGACACAGCTGCTTTCTACGTTACCACATATCGCCTGATTTCTGTGTATTCCTTTACCCCTGGAAAGAATGAGAACTGAATACTGACCTGTCTCACATAGTGCAATGAAACTTAACAATCTATTATGAAGGATATTGAGATCATGTGATATTTTTACTCTATAAAAGCCTTAGGCTTCAGATTTATTTATTTATTTATTTATTTGAGACAGAATCTCACTCTGTTGCCCAGGCTGGAGTGCAGTGGTGAGATCTCGACTCACTGTAACCTCTGCCTCCTGGGTTCAAGCAATTCTCCTGCCTCAGCATCCCGAGTAGCTGGGATTACAGGCACCCACCAGCACATCCGGCTAATTTTTGTATTTTTAGTAGAGACGGGGTTTCACCATGTTGGCCAGGCTGGCTTTGAACTCCTGACCTCAGGTGATCCGCCCACCTCAGCCTCTCAAAGTGCTGGGATCACAGACGTGAGCCACCATGCCCGGCCTTCAGATTTTTATTATATAGAATTCTTAAAATGTATTAAAGGCATGTTTGGGTGGGTTCTTTTTATAGTGGCATCCTGATATTGAAACTGAGTGTGTGCAAATATGAGCCCTGCAACTATTTATTTAGAGCAGTTGAAGGAATCTCAAGAGCATTTTTGTAATAAGACAGGCTCTCCGCACATATATTATTCCCTTAGAAAAACGAGCACGTTTTGAAAGATTTAATAATTTGCACAGGTTGCTAGGTCATTGTTATCATTTGAAAAAGAAGCACCATCATCTAAAGGCCTGAGAGCTGAAAGAATTCAGGACACAATCAATTTTTAAAAAATAGCATCAGACGCACATCATAAAAATAGGTTAGTGTGCCCGGGGAATGGGGAGATGTTGGTCAAAGGGTAGGAAGTTTCAGTTAGAGAGTAAGTTCCAGAGATCTATTGTACAGCATAGTGACTCTAGCTAATAATGATGGATTGTATCCTTGAAAATTGCTGAGAGGAGATTTTAAATGCTCTCATCACACATGCAAAAAAGTATGTGAGGTGATGGATGTGTTAATTATCTTGACGTAGTCATTGCACAATGTGTAAGTATATCAGAATATCAGGGTATACACCATAAATATATACAGTTTTTTCTGAGACGGAGTCTTGCTCTGTCACCCAGGCTGGAGTGCAGTGGCGCAATCTCGGCTCACTGCAAGCTCCACCTCCTGAGTTCAAGCGATTCTCCTGCCTCAGCCTCCGGAGTAGCTGGGACTACAGGCATGTGCCACCATGCCCAGCTAATTTTTTGTATTTTAGTAGTGACAGGGTTTCACCATGTTGGCCACGATGTTCTCGATTTCTTGACCTTGTGATCTGCCCACTTTGGCTTCCCAAAGTACTGGGATTACAGGCGTGAGCCACTGCCCCTGGCCACAGTTTTTATTTGACAATTAAAAAAAACATTATCATAGGGAGAAAATAGGTTAGTAGGTATAAATGAAGTTGAGATACATCATCTCCTTCTCTTCCTACTCCATTTTTCATTGTCATGAGCATTTCCCTTTGGGAGGGATCTTTAGAGGACATTTGTAAAAGCAGTTGCTTGTGCTCTCTTAATCTGGGAAAGTGGGAGTGGGAATCTCGTGAGACTATCAAAGTCCTAATTGGAGCTAGGGAGGAGAATCTTTATTACTCTTTATTAAAGAAAATGGATATAATGTTTATAATTTTAATAAAGCTTGTGTTCTAGTAACTTACGAAAACTATTAGAAAGTTGGGTTATCCATAAGCAACTAGCAAGCCACATGCTATTATCATGTTCTAAAACACTAAATTTGCCTCTCAACTATTCAACACTTTTTTTTAATGTTCACTGTATACTGAATAAGAAAAAACCCTGATGCTTTAGAGTTTTATTGTACAGGATTATTAAAACTTATTAAAGAGGCTTTTCATTGGGTTCTTTTTATTTTGAAATTTTGTTACTGCGACTGGGCATGTTTGATGCTGTTTGCTTAAGTCTCAAGCTCTGACCTGCCTTGTTTGATCACCTGCTGAACTGAATGTCTTGCATGTACCTCATACTTCACCTGGCCAAAAGAGAATTC